>NC_000012.12:111551037-111702552 GCF_000001405.40 Homo sapiens | reverse complement strand
TCACCATGTTAGCCAGGCTGGTCTCGAACTCCTGACCTCAGGTGATCCACCCCCTGGGCCTCCCAAAGTGCTGGGATTATAGGCATGAGCCACTGCGCCTGGCCTAAGAAATAACTTTAAAACATGTAATGGGTTATTAGGTTTCACTTTATTTTCAGTTTAACTAACTTATACATGAATGTTGCAACCACTACTCAAGGCAAAAAGAAAAATATGGAAATGTAGGTATGTTTACCACTCACCATTTCAGAGCAAAGTCTCCCAAATTCTCGTAAAAAACCCTCTGCTGTTATTTCTGCTCTCATAAATCTCATCCAGGGCCCATTTTCACCACCTTCCATCAAGGCCTTTAATATAGTTCCAGAAGGGATACGATTCTGTACCTCCCATTCTATAGGAAGCAAAATATGCAAAAGTGGAATACATTGATACATGCTGGGGTTTAGGGAGCTCAGGAAAATTACCATACCAGTTCCTACGGACTCGCTGTACTGCCAGGGTGGATGCTGTTGGAAATTTGCAGACATTCACAAAATGCAAAATCTCAACCTTAGACCCCCAGAGGAAGAGCAATGCTAATGTGTACAACAGAGAGCACACTGCTGTGAAGCATCAGATCCTCAGTGGTTGCTTGAGAGGACTCCGGGCACTGCATGATGAATTTTATTCCTTGATCTCATATTCACTGGACCATATGTTAGGTCACTTACCTGGACCTGGCAGAGACTATGGAAGCACATGAAGGAAGAAGCCAGATCCTGGTGGCCCCTAGAACATGCCCTTCCTTCTATAGGCTATAGTAATTCTTCACAGCATGGAGTGAGTACACTGAAATGTTCGCCTGAAATGCTGTCTTTGTGGATAAGGAAGCAAATTTCTTCTTTTTTTCAGAAAAAGCCTCACTCAGTCACCCAGGCTAGAGTGCAGTGGTACAATCTCAGCTCATTGCAACCTCCACCTCACAGGTACAACTGATTCTCGTGCCTCAGCCCCCCAGGTAGCTGAGATTATAGGCGTGCACCACCAAGCCTGGCTAATTTCTGTATTTTCAGTAGAGACAGGGTTTTGCCATGTTGGCCACGCTGATCTCAAACTCCTGACCTCAGGTGATCTGCCTGCCTGCCTCGGGCCTCCCAAGGTACTGTGTGTGATTACAGGTGTGAGCCACTGTGCCTGGCCAAGAAGGAAATTTCTGTCCACAAAGAGCTAAGGCAGTGGATGGATCAGCATCAGCATCTGTAGAATACTGGGAACATTTGTGCAAGGACTGTTTCTCCTCATCCACAGTTGCTTTTTCTGTCTATAATACAGATGCTGGGGGCAAATATATACATACAACATTCATAATTATATATCTAAGACAAAATACACTTTACATATAGCTTTTGTTTTGGAATTAAAACACCTTTGTTGTTTTTTTCTGATAAAGTAGTGTCTGTGCATTGAAAATTTTTCAGACAATATATTTCATAGAAAACTATGCAAAAGAAAGTAGGCTGGGTGCAGTAGCTCACACCTATAATCCCGGCACTTTGGGAGGCCAAAATGGGAGGATCGCTTGAGGCTAGGAGTCTGATACCAGCCTGGGCCACATGATTAAACCCTGTCTCTAGAAAAAATTTAAAAATTAGCTTGGCGTGATGGGTTGCACCTGTAATTCTAGCTACTCGGGAAACTGAGGTGGAAGGATCGCTTAAGCCCAGGAGTTTGAGGCTGCAATGAGCTATGATGGTGCCACCGCACTGCAGCCTAGGGACATAGAGCAAGACCCCATGTCTTAAAAAAAAAAAAAAAAAAAAAAAAAGAAGAGGAAGGAAGGAAGGAAGGAAAGTAAAAGGACAAGCAGTCCTATCTTCTTTCAGAAATAACTAATGTTAACAATCTGGTATATGTCCTTTGAAAATAACAAGACTTTTAAAACTCAATCCAAAAAATACTTTAATTTTAGAGCTAAAGCATATAGCATTTTTCACAGTCTCGGAGTTGGCAAGCATGTGAGGAAACCGGCACCATCATATGCTGTTGACGGGAGCGTAAACAAGCACAACCTCTGCAGACAGCAATTTGATAATTTCTGTCAAAATCTGAAATGCACATACATTTGACGTAGTAATTCTACTTTCAGAAATTTCTTCCATATATATTTATGAAAGTAAGCAAAGGTTATGTACAAGGTTGTTTGTGCAGAATTGCTCATAATAAAAAGAACTAGAAAAGTTAAATGTATACTAATAAGGTGTTTATTACATCAATTATGATATATTCATATAACGGAATACCACACAGATGTTAAAACATATAAACTTGCCCAAAGGTCAGCAAAATATGGCTTGGGGCCAAATCTGTCTCCTATCTATTTTTTTAAGAGATGGGGTCTTGCTGTGTTGCCCAGGCTGGCCTCAAACTCCTGGGCTCAAATGAACCTTCACCTCAGCCTCCCTAGTAGCTGGAACTACAGGCACACACCAGCATGCCTGGCTCTACCTATTTTCGTAAATAAAGTCTTATTGGAACACAACCACACTTGTTTACTATTGTCTATTATTGCTTTCTTGCTGCAATGGTAGAAGTGAATAGTTGTGACTGAGAGTATGGCTCACAAAGCCTATCTAGCCCTTCTTTATTTTTGTTTTTTAAGATGGGGTCTTGCTGTTGCCCAGGCTGGGGAGCTGTGGCACAGTCATGGCCCACTGCAGCCTCAAGCTCCCAGGATCAAGTGATCCTTCTGCCTTAGCCTCCTGAGTAGCTGGGATTACAGGTGCGTGCTACCATGCCCAGCTAATTTTTTTATTTTTTGTAGAAATGGGGATCTCACTATGTTGCCCAGGCTAGTCTCAAACTCCTGGCCTCAAACAGTCTCCCACCTCGGCCTCCCAAAGTGCTGGGATCGTAGCCATAAGCCATCACATCCACCATGTCTAGCCCTTTATAGAAAAAGTTTACTAACCTCCAAACTAGATCCTAGACATATGCCAACTGATATGAAAAAGATGGCAAAATATCATACTGAGTCAAAAAAAAGCTATGGAACAGTCTACAGCATATGATCCAATTTGTATATGCCCCCCACACCCACCCCCAACACACACGGGCAATTTTTCAAAAATAAACAAGAAACTTTTCACAATGATAACCACTTAAGTCTGGAACCAACTGGGAAAGGGTCGAGGTGGCAGCAGGAAATTTTATCTGTATTTTATGCTCTTTTAGCAGTGACTATTCAATAAATGGGGTTGGCATAACTAGGTTTCAATATGGAATAGAAATTAAGTTAAATCATCTTTCAGGCCATCACAAAACAAATTCCCAATACAGTAAATATCCAAGTCAGAAAAACAAAATTCTAAAACTTAGAAAATAATATAGAAGGCTGGGCGTGGTGACTCATGGCTAAAATCCCAGCACTTTGGGAGGCAGAGGCAGAGGTGGGCAGATTGTTTATGCTCCCAAGTTCAAGGCCAGCCTGGGCAACATGGTGAAAACCCATCTCTACAAAAAATACAAAAATTAGCCAGGTGTGGTGGTGCGAGCCTATAGTGCAGCTACCTGTGAGGCTGAGGTGGGAGGATAGCTTGAGCCTGGGAGGCAGAGGTTGCAGTGAGCCGAGGTCACTCCACTGCACTTTAGCCTGAGTGGCAGAGTAAAATTCCGTTTCAAAAAGAAAGGAAGAAAAAGAAAACTTTGGTACAGCTAAAAGCATTATCAATAAAATCAAAAGACAAGGCATAAAAGGGAGAAAATATTTGCAAATCATGTAACAGATAAACGGTTATGACCGGCCGGGCGCAGTGGCTCATGCCTGTAATCCCAGCATTTTGGGAGGCCAAGGCGGGCAATCACCTAAGGTAGGGAGTTCGAGAGCAGCCTGACCAACGTGGAGAAACTCCGTCTCTACTAAAAATACAAAATTAGCCAGGGGTGGTGGTGCATGCCTGTAATCCCAGCTACTCAGGAGGCTGAGGCAGGAGAATCGCTTGAACCTGGGAGGCAGAAGTTGTGGTGAGCCAAGATTGCACCATTACATTCCAGCTTGGGCAACAAGAGCAAAAGTCTGTCTCAAAAAAAAAAAGGTTTACTGAAAATCAACAAGAAAAGTGAGCAATTCACGGAAAAACTGAATGACCAATAATATTAAAAAAAAAAAAAAAGGCTCACTACTCAGGAGGCGGGAGAATCACTTTAGACTAGGAGTTCGAGACCAGCCTGACAGCCTGGGCCATACAGCAAGATGCTCTCTGAAAAAAAAAAAAAAAAAGGCCAGATGCAGTGGCTTGTGCCTATAATCCCAGCACTTTGGAACCCTGAGGCAGGCAAGTCACTTCAGGTCAGGAGTTCAAGACCAGCCTGGCCAACATGGTGAAACCCCATCTCTACTAAAAACATATAAAAAATTAGCTAGGTGTGGTGGTGCACACCTGTAGTCCCAGCTACTCGAGAGGCTGAGGAAGGAGAATAGCTTGAACCAGGGAGACAGAGGTTACAGTGAGCCGAGATCACAGCACTGCACTCTAGCCTGGGTGACAGAGTGAGACTCCGACTCAAAAAAAAAAAAAGGGCGCAACCTCAGTTGCAATCAGGCAAATGTGAGACTCCGACTCAAAAAAAAAAAAAAAAGGCGCAACCTCAGTTGCAATCAGGCAAATGAACATTAAAATAACAGGAAAAAAAAGGCCAGGCCCAGTGGCTTACACCTATAATCCCAGCACTTTGGGAGGCCAAGGCGGGCGGACCACCAGATCAGGAGATTGAGATCATCCTGGCTAACACAGTGAAACCTGTCTCTAATAAAAATACAAAAAATTAGCAGGGCGTGGTGGTGGATGCCTGCAGTCCCAGCTACTTCGGGAGGCTGAGGCAGGAGAATGGTGTGAACCCGGGAGGCGAAGTTTGCAGTGAGCTGAGATAGCATCACTGTACTCCAACCTGGGCGACAGAGCAAGACTCTGTCTCAAAAAAAAAAAAAAAAAAGAGAGAGACCAACCTGGTCAACATGGCGAAACCCTGTCTCTACTGAAAATACAAAAATTAGCCAAGCATGGTGGCACACACCTGTAATACCAGCTACTTGGGAGGCTGAGGCACGAGAATTGCTTGAACCCGGGAGATGGAGGTTGCAGTGAGCCAAGATCACGCCACTGCACTTTAGCCTGGGCAATGGAATGATGCTCTGTCTCAAAAAAAAAAAAAAAAGGAAAAGAAAAGAAACCACAAAGATGGAATTTTCATCTATCACACTAACAAAAATTTTAAAGTCAAACATTTTGAAGTTTCGAAATCATTATACCCTCTGAATTCAATTTTTTTTTTCTCCCAAGACGGAGTCTTGATCTGTCACCCAGGCTGGAGTGCAGTGGTGCTATCTTGGCTCACTGCAACCTCTGCCTCCCGAGTTCCAGCAATTCTCCTGCCTCAGTCTCCCGAGTATCTGGGATTACAGGCATGGACTACCATGCCCAATTTTTTTTTTTTTTTGAGACGGAGTCTCGCTGTATCGCCCAGGTTGGAGTGCAGTGGTGCCATCTAGGCTCACTGCAAGCTCTGCCTCCTGGGTGCACGCCATTCTCCTGCCTCAGCCTCCCAAGTAGCTGGGACCACAGGCACCTGCCACCACGCCTGGCTAATTTTTTGTATTTTTAGTAGAGACGGGGTTTCACCACGTTAGCCAAGATGGTTTCAATCTCCTGACCTCGTGATCCACCTGCCTTGGCCTCCCAAACTGCTGGGATTACAGGCGTGAGCTACTGTGCCCGGCCTAAATTCAATCTTAAAGTGTTTGAGCTTTGGTCTGAAAATGCATTCTTGGAGAAAAATAAAGTAAAATAAAAAATAAAAAAACTAAAATGTTTGGGCTATACTTTGAATTCTTTGTTGTGCGTACTAATTTTATAGTAAACTAACAGCTTAAATCAAGCTTTTCTGAAAAGGGCCAGATGGTAAATATTTTAGGCTTTGAAAGCATTACGGACCCTGTTGAAATTACTCAACTCTGCCAGTACAGGGTAAAAGCAGTCATGGACAATATGTAAACAAATGGGCAAGATGGTTTTCTAAAAAATTTCATTTTTATGGACATTGAAATATGAACTTCACATAATTTTCACATGTCACAAAATATTATTCTTGTTTTGATATTTTTCAATTACGTATTTCAAAACATAAAAGTCATTCTTGGCTGACAGGCCATACAAAAACAGACAGCAGGTGAGGCATGGTAACTCACACCTGTAATTCCAATGACTCAAGAGGCCAAGGCAGGAGGATCACTTGAGCCCGGGAGTTCGACACTAGCTTGAGAAACATAGCAAGACCCCATCTCTATAAAAAACAAAAATTAGGCATAGTGGCAAACACCTGTAGTCCCAGCTACTTGGGAGCCTGAGGCAGGATTGCTTGAGCCCAGGAGTTTCAGGCTGCAGTGAGCCATGATTGTACCACTGCACTCCAGCCTAAGAAACAGAGCGCGATCCCATCTCAAGAAAAAAAAAAATAGTATAGTACAGTAATTCTAGTGTATATATATATATACTTTTTTTTTTTTTGAGACAGAGTCTTGCTCTGTCTCCCAAGCTGCAGCGCAATGGTATGATCTCAGCTCACTGCAACCTCTGTTTCCCGGGTTCAAGTGGTTCTCCCTGCTCAGCCTCCAGAGTAGCTGCAATTTCAGGTGCCCATCACCATGCCCCGCTTATTTTTGAATTTTTAGTAGAGATTGGATTTTGCCATGTTGGCCAGGCTGGTCTCAAACTCATGACCTCAAGTGATCCGCCCATCTCGTCCTCCCAAAGTGCTGAGATTAAAGGCATGAGCCACCGCACCTGGCCAATTCTAGTATATTCTTATCAAATGACCCTTGATATGGTTCATTTGAAATAAATAACATTAGAAGCTCCAGTCAAGCAAAAGACAAAGTAGAAGGCATCACTATTTTGTTCACATTTACCCATCAAACATTTCCTGAATGACTGAGCCAGCCTGCAGAGCTAACACTGCAACAGTGAAGTGAAGAAATCCCAGACCTGGGGTCCTGGAATCCAAGAGCCCCATAGAGGAGACATGAACATATCCCACTGCAAACAAAAATATCTCGGTGAAGGTGAAACTTAATGGGAATTGGCTATCCAGGAACATTCTGCCCAGGTTGCAAATGAGGTTGGAGAAGTCTTGACAGAAGAGGACTCTTGAAGTTAGTAACAACCATGAGATTTACTGAGTGTTCAAAAGATTCCAGTCATTGCTGAATAATATCCCCTTAAATTTGCCATTAAAAGCATCAGTAGGATTTGAACAGGCAGAGGAGGCAGGGAGGAAACACAGCTTGCAAAGGCACAAACATGCAAATGTGCCTGGCATGCCTGGGGAGCATCAGGTAGTCCATAGCAGGAAAGCTAAAACTGAGAGGAGCCCTGAATCCCAGGTGAAAGCTTCTAGACTTAATCTAGGGGACCACATGCAGGCATTCAAGATTTTCAAGCCAGGGATGAAAGGAACAAGATCTATGCTTTATTTTTATTTTATTTATTATTTTGTGACAGGGTCTCACTTTGTCACCCAGGCTGGAGTGCAGTGGTGCAATCTCAGCTCACTGCAGCCTCAATCGCCCAGGCTAAAGAGTTCCTCCCACCGCAGCCCCTCAAGTAGCTGGGACTACATCCATGCACCACCATGCCCAGGTACGCTTTTTGTATTTTTCGTAGAGACAAGGTTTCACCAGGTTGGCCAGGCTGGTCTTGAACTCCTGTGCTCAAGCGATCTGCCCACCTCGGCCTCCTAAATTGCTGAGATTACAGGTGTGAGCTGCTAAGCGCAGAAGCACGATCCATGTTTTAGAAAGGTTAATTCTGGAGCTGGGAGGAGATTTTGTAAAATCCAGAGAGCCAGAGGCAGAGGAAGTTAGGAGGCTGATGACATCATTTGGGTGAGAGAAGGCAAGGGTGGAGGCAGTGGCAATGGAGAGAAGTGAATTGGTTCTTAAGATATTCTAGAGAAAGTCAAGAAACTTTCTGTCCAGTGATCTTTATGTTCTTCCCTGCTGCCTTTTTTTTTAGAGACAGGTTCTCTAAAAAAGACTGTTGTGCCAGTCTGGGGTGCAGTGGTGCAATCCTAGCTCACCATAGGGTCTCACTGTGTTGCTCAGGTTTAGTCTTTATGTTCTTTGTAGAAGAACAGATTCAGCTATCTGCAGAGCAAGAATATTTGGGGGTGGTAAGGAGCAGGGGGAGTGGACAGTCTGGAACAGCCCCTGAGGTAAACATGACAGAGATACGAGTGAAGGAACAGAGAGATAAGAGTGAAGGAACAGAGAGGCTCAGGCGTAGCACCAATGGCCCAACTGAGGCTGGAGCTCAGAAACCAGCTTGTGCAGCCAGTTAGCACGGCTGAGTAATTTGGTCAGCAGTGCTGGAAAGCCTAGACACGCAGGCATAGAAAACCTGTGCCTGGGTTGATTTAGGATGGAGAACTGGCCAACCAGCCACCACAGAAGGTCAAAAGGAGAGGGATGGCTGCCTGGCCCTTTGTCCTTCCTGCTGGCTGGCATGAGAATATGATAGCAGGAGGCGACACAGCCAAGACAGACCACAATGTAAGAGTGGAAATGAAAAGTCACAGCAGAGCAACATGCTATAAAGAGTCGGAGTCCCTGATACCACAGAGTCGCATCACACAGTGCCCCAGACCACATACCTGGGCTTTTATGTGCAAGAGAAAGAAACTTCTAGCTTGTTTCAGTCACTGTTTTGTTAGGTTTTCTACTGCTTGAAGCCAAAACGACTTTAACTAATAAAAACTGAACTGAGTAGAAAAGAAGTAAAACCAGGAAGGGGCTGGTAAAGAGAAGACCAGAGACCAGAGGGCTGACCCTTACCCTGTCAGTCCAGAAGCAGGTTTAGAGGGAGTGGGGTAGAAGGGAGGAAGGCTGTAATCAAAAGGGGAATTTCAGCATTCTAGATTTCAGAAGTAGAACAGTTCCCAAGAAGAAGTGGTTAAATTCTTTGGGATTTTTGGTTGTTTGTTTTTGAGTAAGGGTCTTGCTCTGTTACCCAGGCTGGAGTGCAGTGGCATGATCACGGCTGACTACAGCCTCAACCACCTGGATTCATGTGATCCTCCGACCTCAGCCTCCTGAGTAGCTAGAACTACAGGTGCCTGTCATCATGCCCAGATAATTTTTAAATTTCTGCAGATACGGGGTCTCACTATGTTGCTCAGGCTGGTCTTGAACTCCTGGGCTCAAACGACCCTCTCACCTCGGCCTCCAAAAGTGCTGGGATTACAGGCTTCAGCCACTGTGCCCTGCCTTGGTGGTTAAATTCTAATCACAGCATTCATGGCAGCTCATCATTGATTGAGAATTTAGGATGCACTGAGCAATCACTGTGCTAAGCAAGTGCTTCCCACGGATAACTCTCCGCCAAATCCCAAGGAGGAAGGCACTACCATTAGCTCATTTAATGATGAGGAAAGTAAGATTTGGAGAAGCTGAATCATGCGCCCAAGACACTCAGCCCCCTAGTGGTGCTTGGAATTCGACTCGAGAGCCAGAGCATGGCCTGCTGGGACACACTGCTGCCCAAGTGTTCCCCTCTGCCTTCCCGATCACCCTCCATTCTCCCACCACCACTCTAGTCCCACAAAGTGAAACAGAATCAATAGCTCACCTGCAGCGACTCTCCCTGGAGAAGGAATGAGAACTCCGCCCATGTCGAAAATCACCGCTCTGTAGGTGCTGCCTCCAAGGTGTGTCCATCGGTGGGACCCCTGGTGCCTGCGCTGGGTGTGTTTCAGGAAGGCTGTTCTCCACACCCACTGGAGACGGGGGGACTGGAAACAGCTCCTGACACACATGGTGAGGCTGAGGCTGTGTGGGAAGAAGGCACAGGGCGTTACTTGCCTGCACTGCCTCCCAACCAGGCCTCCATCCTGGAGCTCAGAGGGGCCAGCCAGACATCTCTAACCCATCTCCAACAGGCACTTCGAATCACACCCACAACTGACCTCAGTGTCTCCTCCCTCCCTGGCTACTTAGTCAAGGGCTCCATCGCCCACTCGGCTGCCCAAGCTAGAAAGCTGGGACTCGCCTCTGACTTTCTGCAATCTCTACCTCACCTCGCCCTATCTAGTTCTGTGCTGTCAAGTCTTTCTCCTGAAAATCTCATCTACCTCTTTGCATTCTCACTGCCACCATCTTGCCCATGGATCCTAACTGGCCCCCTTGCCTCTTCTCAGACCTCTCTCCAATTCTTTCTTCACCCTCCAGTCAGAGTATTCTTTAAAAATTGTAAATCTGGGCCAGGTGTGGTGGCTCACTCCTGTAATCCCACCACTATGGGAGGCCAAGGCGGGTGGATCACCTGAGGTTGCGAGTTCGAGACCAGCCTGACCAACATGGAGAAACCCCACCTCTACTAAAAATACAAAATTAGCCGGGCATGGTGGCGCATGCCTGTAATCCCAGCTACTCAGGAGGCTGAGGCAGGAGAATCGCTTGAACCCGGGAGGCAGAGGTTGCAGTGAGCCAAGATCGTGCCATTGCACTCCAGCCTGGGCAACAAGAGCAAAACTCCATCTCAAAAAACAAACAAACAACACCTTCAATGGCTCCCCATTGCCCTTAAAATAAAATCTCAATTCCTAAGCCTGGCTTAAAAGATCTACTCCCGTCAGGCGCAGTGGCACACGCCTGTAATCTCAACACTTAGGGAGGCTGAGATGGGCAGAACACCTGAGGTCAGGAGTTGGGAAACCAGCCTGGCCAACATGGCGAAACCCCATCTCTACTCAAAAACACAAAAATAACCTGGGCATGGTGTTGGGTGCCTGTAATCCAGCTACTTGGGAGGCTGAGGTAGGAGAATTGCTTGAACTTGGGAGGCAGAGGTTGCAGTGAGCCAAGATTGTGCCACTGCACTCCAGCCTGGGTGAGAAAGCCAGAGTCCATCTCAAAAAAAAAAAAAAAAAAATCTCATTCCTTTCTGCAGCAGCTCCCCATTTTTTCATCTCAACCTGGGATGATCTGGACATACACATCTACATGCAGTTTCCTCAAACGCATGTTCTCCTCTGCAATGCTCTGTTCCACCTGTTGCCTGGCTAATTCCAAACAGTCCTTTGGGTTGCAGTTTACCAGTCACTGTCTTCATGAAGCCTCTTGGGGATACCAGAAAAGACTCATTAGGAGTCTCTCCTGTATGCACCTAAGATGTCCTGTACTCGCCTCCTCCTAGCACTTACGATGACACCCTCACACCACAAAACACCATCATTTCCACTTACAGATCACTGCAGCAGCCTGGTAACTGTTCCTCAAACTTACTTTCAAAAGGTTCAGGAAAAAAAAAGACACACACAACACACATACATACATGTACACGTATACAGATGCATACCTATATACACTCGTGTATAGAGAAAACCAAACATGGCCAGACATTAATAGTGAGTCTAGATGAAAGGTATAACGGGAGATCACTGTAACTTCTTTTGACTTTTCTATAAGCTTGAAATAAAAAGATGGGGAAAAAAACCAAAATAATGAAGGCAAATTCTATTTTCTTCATGAAAATCTTTAAGCTTTTTATGTGATTTCTACAGTTAAAAAGCTTACTAAAAATCAGGAGAGTGCAAAACAGGTTGGTAAGACAGCATCTGAGTTTACAGGAGTCATTCAGTGGGGCCAAAAGGACTCCAAAACTATATACTTTGAGCATCCCCAATCCAAATATCTGACATCTGAAATGCTCCAAAATCAGAAACTCTTTTTTTTTTTTTTTTTTTGAGAGTCTCACTCTGTTGCCCAGGCTGGAGTGTAGTGGCACGAATTTGGCTCACTGCTACCTCTGCCTCCCAGGTTCAAGTGATTCTCCTGCCTCAGCCTCCCGAGTAGCAGGTACTACAGGTACGCACCACCATACCTGGCTAATTTTTGTATTTTTAGTAGAGATGGGGTTTCGCCATGTTGGTCAGGTTGGTATCAAACTCCTGACCTCAGGTGATTCACCTACCTCAGCCTCCCAAAGTGCTGGAATTACAGGTGTGAGTCACGGCGCCCAGCTAGGACTAAAAAACTGTAGAGGTTGAGCATCCCTAATCCAAATATCCGATACCTGAAATGATCCAAAATCCAAAACTTTTTGAGCCCCCACACGATGCCACAATGAAAAATTCCACACGTAAGTACTTAACACAAACTTTGTTTCATGCACAAAATTATTTAAAATATTGTATAAAATTACCATCAGGCTAGGTGTATAAGATATATATGAAACATATATATATAAGTGAATTTCATGTTTAGCCTTGGGTCCCAACCCCAAGATATCTCATTATATATACGCAGATATATCAAAATCCAAAATCTGAACTACTTCTGGTTCCAAACATTTGGGACAAGGGATACTCAACCTCTATAAGCACCTAGAGAAAGGACTCTTAAGTGGTAAATCTTGAATATAATGTGTTTCTCATCTATAGTCAGCCCTCTGTATTTGTGAGTTCCACATCTGCAGATTCAGCCAACTACAATAGAAAATATTCGAAGTAAGGCCGGGTGCAGTGGCTCACGCCTGTAATCCCAGCACTCTGGGAGGCCGAGGCGGGCGGATCACAAAGTCAGGAGATTGAGACCATCCTGGCTAACACGGTGAAACCCCATCTCTACTAAAAATACAAAAAATTAGCCGGGCGTGGTGGTGGGCACCTGTAGTCCCAGCTACTCAAGAGGCTGAGGCAGGAGAATGGTGTGAACTGGGGAGGCGGAGCTTGCAGTGAGCCGAGATGGTGCCACTGGACTCCAGCCTGGGCAACAGAGTGAGACTCCATCTCAAAAAAAAAAAAAGAAGAAAATATTTGAAGTAAAACAAAACAAAACAAACACACACAGTAAGGGCACAGTAACTGACGCCTGTAATCCCAGAACTTTGGGATGCTAATGTAGGCGGATCACCTGAGGTCGAGAGTTCGAGACCAACCTGGTCAACATTGTGAAGCCCCGTCTCTACTAAAAACACAGAAAAAAAATTAGCCAGGCGTGGTGGCGCACACCTGTAATCCCAGATACTCGGGAGGCTGGGACATGAGAATCACTTGAACCAGGGAAGTGGAGGTTGCAGTGAACCAAGATTGCACCACTGCACTCCACATTCCAGCCGGGGTTATAGAGTGAGACTCCATCTCAAAAACAAACAAAAACCAACAAAAATAACAACACAACAATAAAAAATGCAAACAAAAAATACAGGTTAACAACTATTTATTTACACAGTACTTACACTGTTTTAGGTATACATACATATATATGCATGTATATATATTTATATATTTTGATATGGATATGATTTGATATATATATTAAATATATATATTTTTTGATATGGAGTCTCCCTCTGTCACCAGGCTGGAATGCGGTGGCATGATCAGAGCTCACTGCAACCTCCACCTCCTGGGTTCAAGCGATTCTCCTGCCTCAGCCTCCCGAGTAGCTGGGATTACAGGTGCGTGCCACCACGCCTGGCTAATTTTTGTGTTTTTACTGGAGACAGGATTTCACCATGTTGGCCAGAATGGTCTCGATCTCTTGACCTCATTATCCACCCACCTTGGCCTCCCTAAGTGCTGGGATTACAGGCGTGAGCCATCGTGCCCAGCCAGTATTATAAGCAATCTAGGGATTACTTAACTCATATCTTGCTTGCCCTGAGAATACTGTGCTGGCAGCGAGCTGCACTTTTTTTGCTTTCTTTTTTTTGTTTTGTTTTGAGACGGAGTCTTGCTCTGTCGCCCAGGCTGGAGTGCAATGGTGTGATCTCGGCTCACTGCAACCGCCTCCCAGGTTCAAGCTATTCTCTTGCCTCAGCCTCCCGAGTAGCTGAGACTACAGGCGCTCGCCACCACATCCAGCTAATTTTTTGTATTTTTATAGTGGAGACGGGTGTTAACCATGTTGGCCAGGCTGGTCTCGAACTCCTGACCTCAAGTGATCCACCGGCCTCGGCCTCCCAAAGTGCTGGGATTGCAGGCGTGAGCCACCACACCAAGTCAAGTACTTTTTTTTTCTAAATGGGAAATGGGTTAAAGCATATAGGAGGGTGTACATAGGTTATAAACAAATGCTACACCATTGTATATCAGGAACTTGAGCATCCACAGATTTTGGCATCTGCAGGGGGTCCTGCACCCATCTGCTGAGGATACCACCATGCAACGACAGTAATTGGAAATTTGCTGAATTTGGGGGCAATATTTGAAACTAAAAATGTCAAGGTTCATTTGCATTTTCAGTTTTACTTAACGTTCCTATGCCAAGGCCAATGTTTATGATAGAAAGAGAAATTTACTTACACACTTGTATATTTTGTGTGAGGGCTTAGTAGAGACGAAAAATGCCTTTGGGGGGGCCGGGCGCGGTGGCTCACGCCTGTCATCCCAGCACTTTGGGAGGCCGAAGTGGGCGGATCACAAGGTCAGGAGTTCGAGACAAGTCTGACCAACATGGTGAAACCCTATCTCTAAAAAAAAATACAAAAATCAGCTGGGTGCAGTGCTGTGTGCCTGTAGTCCCAGCTACTTGGGAGACTGAGGCAGGAAGCTTGAACCCAGGAAGCCGAGGTTGCAGTGAGCCGAGATGGCACCACTGCACTCCAGCCTGGGCGACAGAGTGAGACTCCGTCTCAAAATACAAAAAAAAAAAAAGGTTTGTTTGGTAAAGAGATAAAGAATGTTCGTTCTGGATTCAGATTGCCTGAATTTCAGTTCCAGCTCTGCCACTACTACCTGTGAAATCCTGAGCCAGTTACTCTTCCTCCAAGCCTCAGGTTACTCCTCTGTAGAACAGGGACATAGTACCAGTTTCATAAAGTTGTTGTGACCATTGCATGACACAAGGTATATGAAACACTCAAATTAGTACCTGGCACATGTTGAAATGTTATCTACTATAGTAATATACTAAAAAAGTTCACAAGAGGTCTCATAGGTTTTATGCATACAGTATGTGTGTATGGTTTATGCACTTTCACATAACCCTGTGATTCTTCAACAGGGTTATGTTTTCTAACCCCAAGGAGACATCTGGAAAGGTCCAGAGACATTATTGGTTGTCACCACCTGGGGAGAGGTGCTACTGACATCTAGTGGGTCAGGCCAGGGATGTTTCTAAACACTCTACAATGCTCAGGACACCCCGCCCCCTTGCCAAAAACAAAAAAGAATAATCAGGACCCAAAATGTTAATAGTGCAGAGTTGAGAAACCCTGATTTAAACAGGGCATATGGAAACGTATTTCATAGGATGTAGTCACAAGATCTATATACGCATGTATCTTGTGGTCATGTCATAGTCCAGATACACACACATCTAGAACGCACTATGTCCACACACACACACATCTAGAATGTACTATGTACTTACATATGTATCATTATACAATGTACCTAGAGTAGCATCCTGTCATGTATGTGTCCCATATGCATTGATTGTGTC
Source organism: Homo sapiens (assembly GCF_000001405.40). Lineage (NCBI taxonomy): Eukaryota > Metazoa > Chordata > Mammalia > Primates > Hominidae > Homo > Homo sapiens. The sequence goes on along the minus strand of NC_000012.12, from coordinate 111,687,077 downwards.
AGTATCTACATACAAAAGCCACTCTGACATACTGGAAAGAATGCTGAGCCTCAGAAAAGCTAATGTTATCTCCATATACATAATTCCATTTCATCCTCACAACTGCATGAGGACATGATATCATGCCAACTTTATGCAATGACTATACTAGTTCAAGACTGCACAACTGCTGATGTAGGTCAACCTCATAGTACGGACAGGAACTGTGTTTATCTTATACGCCAACGTATCTCAAGCATCCCAAGGGTGTCTAGACTCTCAGTAAACATTTGTGAAGTGACAGGGTGGGGAGGAGGACCCCGGTCTAACTGCAGCACTATGCTCGTAACCAGCAGATCACCATCTTTTCTCTCTTTTTTTTGAGACGGAGTTTCGCTCTTGTTGCCCAGGCGGGAGTGCACTAGCACTATCTCGACTCACTGCAACCTCCGCCTCCCGGGTTCAAGCGATTCTCCTGTCTCAGCCTCCCAAGTAGCTTGGACTACAGACGCGCGCCACCAAGCCCGGCTAATTTTTTGTATGTTCAGTAGAGACGAGGTTTCACCATGTTGGCCAGGTTGGTCTCGAACTGCTGACCTGAGGTGATTCGCCCGCCTAAGCCTCTGGGCTGGGATTACAGGCGTGAGCCACCGCGCCCAGCCAGATCGCTATCTGAACAGCGATCGACTCTCCACTCTCTACGGCCCCTTAGAAGGAACTTCACCTCTCTGAGCCTCGTTGTACCTATCTGTAAAGTGGGACAGAAACAAAACCATCCAGACTAGGGTTAGAGACAGGAGTCAAACACAACAAAAGGGGCAAAGTTCTGCATAGCAGATAGCTCGGACAATTCGGAGACCTCGCGGAGCCAGGGATCCCGCGCCGTCAGCCGAGGTGGATTAGGACGAGGCCTCTGGAGCAAGCAGAGGTTAACTCGCGACTGTGCGAAAACCTGCAGCTCAGCCTAAGTGTGGCACCCCAGCGCAAGCAATCTCCACGACGTCCTTCCGCTCCGACCTCCTCAAAATTGCGTCCGGAAGAGCAGTGGGTGACCCCTGCCACGCCGCCCAATCGCTGTGCGCGGTCCTGCGCGCATGCGTAAACCGCAGGTCAGCGACGGCGGCCGGGAGGCGGAAGTGGAGGTTGTTGTGGCTCCGAGGGCTGTTCGAGGAGCTGCTGCTGCTGAGGCGGCGGCAACTGCATTGAGGTGGTGGCGGCGCTGCCGGCCCCGGGCCGCTCGGCCTCTCGGCTCGCCTTCCAGCCTCGCCTGAGCCCGCCGGGGCCCGCGCCGGCCAGCGCCTGCCCTATGAGTGTGTCACTGGTTGTTATCCGATTGGAGCTCGCGGAACACTCGCCTGTCCCCGCCGGCTTCGGCTTCAGCGCCGCGGGTGAGTCCCGCGGCCTCGCCGCATTCCCTGTAGCCGGGTCTGGGCCCGGAGGGCTTCCCTTCCCAAAGCACTGGCCCGGGAAAAGCCCGCGGCGAGGGCTGTTGCCCAGGAAGACACGGAGAGGTAATCGGGATCCCTCTCTTTCCCATCCGCCTTTGAGAGGCCTTCCCGTTTGTTATCTCAGGGAAGCCCTGCCCCGAACCTCCCTCCCTGTGCCGTCTGAGGGCATTTAGTTTATACCTGGCGCGTCTCCCTCTCGAGATAGTCGAGTGGTGTGTTTGTCTCACTTGCTTCCCTATGGGCTTCGTAAAGGCAGGGACTGGGTCCCCAGCAACGCTGGACGGTCCCTGGGTTAATTAAATTGTTCCCTTTTGGAACGATATCCATTGAAGTGCCCCCTAACCATAGTCATAACTAAAATTTGGACACTTCCTATATCCCAGCACTGTACTAAGCACCTTTTGTGTATTGTATTCTTTAATTATCTTTGCAACAGCCCTAAGAGGCAGATGGATGTGACATGTACCTCTTACACATTGGGAAACTGAAGCTTAGTGATTAATTGATTTGCCCAAGGTTATCTGTAATGGGTGAAACTGGGATTCTAACTCAGTGAGCTGGACTTGAGTCTGAGCTTTTTACACCATTAACACAAGTGAGGAAGCTCCTTAGTGGGGAATGCAGCTCTGGCTCTGTTCCTTGGTCCTCAGATAATTAACTAACATTCATTCAAGAAATACTTGGCCGGGCGCGGTGGCTCACGCCTGTAATCCTCACACTTTGGGAGGCCGAGGCGGGCGGGTCACCTGAGGTTGAGAGTTCAAGACCAGCCTGGCCAACATGGTGAAACCCTGTCTGTACTAAAAATACAAAAATTAGCTGGGCGTGGTGACAGGTGCCTGTAATCCCAGCTACTGGGGAGGCTGAGGCAGGAGAATCGCTTGAACCCGGGAGGTGGAGGTTGCGGTGAGCCAAGATTGTGGCACTGCACTCCAGCCTGGGCGACAAGAGATAAAGTCCATTTCAAAAAAAAAAACAAAAAAAAAACTTATGCTCATATCTGCTGGAGCCTTCCTTGTGTGCTGAATCAGACAGCGTCTCTGTTTTAATGGCACCAGCAGTATCATGGAGGAAACAGATGAATTAAATAAGTGCAGAATATGTGTAGAATTACAACTGTGGTAAGTGCTGTGAAGGAAAGGAGAAACAATTTGGGAAAGTATTACAAGAAGATGTGTTTGGTTTGGAGAGAGGGATGGGGGCAGGTAGGGATGGTGTCATTGGGAACTTCCTGAGGACGTGACCTTTGAAGCTGCAAATTAAAGATTGAATATGACTTTATAGCTTATGAGCACCTTTCCAAAGGCTAAAAGTGGCTTCTGAGTTCTGAGAGTCAGCTAAATTGATATTAGCCGCATATAGACATCTGCATGGGTCAGTCATGTAGTCATTTATTCATCAAACATTTAGAGGGCTTCCTCTGTGTGCTCGGCACTGTGGTATAAGGGCTGGGAATACAGTGGTGGGCAAAACAGGCCTTGTCCCTGCCCTGACAGAGCATGTATTAGGGATATTTCAGTTAAGTCTCCAAATTCCGTTTCCCTTTTCATGTGTTTCATTGATTTAAGACAGTAATCACAGATGTTCATGGCTTGGTTCATGGCATGAGCATAAGCCAGGATGTTTAAGACTACCCCTACAAGTTTTTGAAATTTTGTTTTTTTAATGGACTTGATAGCTTCATTTTGGGCTGAACACAATTTCATTTTATCAGGTGTTACTAAAATGTTAGCTCATCTGGGCATGATCACTGTTGCATCTTCTCTAAGGCTCCCTCTTTGGCGATTTGCTTTAAAGTGCATGATTTTGGGCCAGGCGCAGTGGCTCAAACCTGTAATTCCAGCGCTTTGGGAGGTCAAGGCGGGTGGATCACTTTGAGGCCAGGAGTTCGAGACCAGCCTGTCCAACATGGTGAAGCCCCATCTCTACTGAAAGTACAAAAATTAGCTGGGCGTGGTGGCACGTGCCTGTAATCCCAGCTACTCGGGAGGCTGGGGCAGGAGAATCACTTGAACCTGGGAGGTGGAGGTTGCAGTGAGCCAAGATCACACCACTGCACTCCAGCCTGGGTGACAGAGTGAGACTCTGTCTCAAAAAATAAAAATAAAGTGCATGATTTCAGTAGAACAGCCCTGCATTTCTGAGTATATTGTCCTGGCTGCTTATTGACTCTTTGCTGTGTACTGCAGTGGTCCCAGAGTTGAGTGAGATGGATACTACAAAGGCTTCTTATCATCTTGGCGGAAGGCAGGAGAAAGAAAAGGAAAACCTAATGATAGAGGAATAGAGAACAGAGAGGAGCTTGTTTTATTACCTTGTATTAATCATTCATGTGTTCTTTAGCCGGGGAAATGTCTGATGAGGAGATAAAAAAGACGACACTAGCCTCAGCTGTAGCCTGTTTAGAAGGCAAGTCACCAGGAGAGAAAGTAGCGATTATCCATCAGCATCTCGGCCGTCGAGAAATGACAGATGTGATCATTGAGACCATGAAGTCCAACCCAGGTATGCTTTCTAAAACCCTGGACTCTCTTTTGTAATGTGAACACTGGTTGCCTATTTTATACACGGTGTTTGATGAGCCTACAATTTCAACATCTAGCATACTTTTGTCTTTCACTACGTGTGTGCTTTATATGACACTGTTAAGCCACATGTTAGTGTTTCCAAATATTTCTTCCAAATTAATCCTAACAGTTGGAGTTGACAATTCAGTTCAGTGACGGGGGGGACTTTTTTTTTTGAGGCAGGGTCTCTGTTGCCCAGGCTAGAGTGCAGTGGTGCAATGTCGGGTCATTACAACCTCAGCCTCCTGGGCTGAAGCAGTCTTCCTGCCTCAGCCTCCCAAGTAGCTGGGATTACAGATGCCCTCTACCACGCCTGGGTAATTTTTGTATTTTCAGTAGAGACAAGGTTTCTCCATGTTAGCCAGGCTGGTCTCATACTCCTGGTCTCAAGTGATCCACCTGCCTCGGCCTCCCAAAGTGCTGGAATTACAGGTGTGAGCCACCACACCCGGCTACCAGGGAGAATTTCTTACCACCTAGTTCAGTGGCAGATCATTAATGTGTCCAAATAAACATGTCGTGCCTTCCCCTGCTCTGCCAGCTCATTTTTTCTTTCTTTCTTTTCTTTTTTTTTTTTTTTTTTTTTGAGACAGTCTCACTTTGTCCCCAGGTGGGAGTGCAGTGGCATGATCTCGGCTTACTGCAACTCCACCTCCTGGTTTCAAGCAATTCTCCTTCCTCTCTCAGCCTCCCAAGTAGCTGGGACTACAGGTGCACGCTACTACACCCAGCTAATTTTTGTATTTTTGGTAGAGACAGGGTTTCACCATGTGAGCCAGGATGGTCTCAACCTCTTGACCTCCCAAAGTGCTGGGATTACAGGCATGAGCCACTGCACCCGGCCAGCCAGCTCATTTTATCTGCGGAAGTGGATGTGTAGATAGTACTACATCTCCAACATGGAGGTGGTCAGAACTGGTAGGTTTGGATTTCCACCTTAGTAGCCCTGAATGTTTGTCCCAGTTAGGATTTCGTGATAGAAGATACCTGCTTGCATTATGGTATTGCCAAATGTAATAGCCATCCTTAAGTTTCTGAGGGTGTTAATGAGATTTTTATGGAGCAAAGAGAGCTTTAAAGTATGATGCCCTCATAAACTCAGCTATTCTACAAATAATAGCTGTTAATGCATTACATTGTAATTACTCTATCAAAGTTTATTCCTCTGACTTGAAATTTTAATCTAGTTCAAATCCTTCAGCATATGTCCTATCCATTTATAATCTGCTATTTTTTAACTGGTGAAAGATGAACTAAAAACTACAGTGGAAGAAAGGAAGTCTTCAGAAGCCTCCCCCACTGCGCAAAGAAGTAAAGATCACAGTAAGGAATGCATAAACGCTGCCCCAGATTCTCCGTCCAAACAGCTTCCAGACCAGATTTCATTCTTCAGTGGAAATCCATCAGTTGAAATAGTTCATGGTATTATGCACCTATATAAGACAAAGTAAGAAAACCCTCTTTTCTTGGGGGTTAGTCAATTTTTTTTTTTTTTTTTTTGCTTTGCTTTAGCATAGTCTCTTGTCCTGAAGGAAAGTGGGTATTTTAAGCTTCAAAATAATAATACTTTTGTCTGTTGTATGTTAGAGAATTCTCAGATGTTTTACATTTGATTAATCTTGTGGATTGGGTCAAAGCTTTTCCTTATAAAAGAAATGCTTGTGGATACACTTAAGAGAATATGTGGGAAAAATGTTTTCTTTTTTTTTTTTTGAAATGGAGTTTCGGTCTCGTTGCCCAGGCTGGAGTGCAATGGCGCGATCTCAGATCACTGCATCTTCTGCCTCCTGAGTTCAAGTGATTCTCCTTCCTCAGCCTCCCAAGTAGCTGGGATTACAGGTGCCCACCACCACACCTAGCTAATTTTTTGTATTTTTAGTAGAGATGGGGTTTCACCCTGTTGGCCAGGCTGGTCTTGAACTCCGACCTCAGGTTATCCGCCCGCCTCAGCCTCCCAAAGTGCTGGGATTACAGGCGTGAGCCACTGCGCCCTGCCAGGAAAATGTTTTCTTAGCAGATAGGCATGGAAGGTGATGGGGAATTGAAAGGACAAAGAAAATGATCCACAGCATCTTTGTAGTCTCATGTCCCCACCAAATCTTTACTGAAGAGGCTGCTAAGAAGTCAGTTAACTCATTACAATTTTATTACCTCTTTTTTACCATTTTCTGTGGTTCAAACAAAGCTTGCTAGAGCCCCAAGGAAAGGAAGCATTTGGCTAGATAATCCACAAGCCCAGCCACTACCTTCTTGGGTAATGGTAGCTGATACCTTAAGGCTGTTCTTGTGCTAACTCATTTGCCAGATCTCTACTGGGAAAACAGTGACTATTCAGGTAGCCATTTTGTTTTTTGTTTTGTTTTTTGTTTTGTTTTTTGTTTTGTTTTTTTTTGAGACAGGGTCTCACTCCATAACTCAGGCTGGAGTGCAGTGGTGCAATCCTGGCTCACTGCAACCTCCCCTCCCGGGTTCAAGCAATTCTCCTGCCTCAGAGTAGCTGGGACCACAGGTGCACACCACCACGCCCAGTTAATTTTTTTTTTTTTTTTGGCAGAGATGGGGTTTCATCATGTTGGCTAGGCTGGTCTCGAACTCCTAACCTCAAGTGATCAGCCCACCTCAGCCTCCCAAAGTGTTGGGATTACAGGTGTGAGTCACTGCACCCGGCACAGGTAGCCATTCTGGATCACAGCTGTCAAGTGAGTTTGCAGCATTTCAAAAAACAAATTGCATTGTGGGAGGATTTTCTTTCCTCTCTATTCCAGCCATCTCAACTTGGTAACACTTCCTGTAATCCTCAGTTACATCCTCATGGTTTAGAATTCTCTCTTGCCGGGCGTGGTGGCTCACGCCTGTAATCCCAGTACTTTGGGAGGCCGAGGCGGGGGATCACGAGGTCAGGAGTTCGAAACCAGCCTGGCCAACATAGTGAAACCCCATCTCTACTAAAAATACAAAAATTAGCCCGGCGTGGTGGCACGCGTCTGTAATCCCAGCTACTTGGGAGGCTGAGCAGGAGAATTGCTTGAACCCAGGAGTCAGAGGTTGCAGTGAGCCGAGACCATGCAGCAAGACTCTGAAAAAAAAAAAGACAGAATTCTCTCGTATATTTAGAGCTGTTTTTTTAGGCCTTTTAAGAGAGGTCCATAGCCAGAGTTGTGCTTTTAAGTTAACCAGTGACAGATTTTTTTTTTTTTTTTTTTTTTTGAGATGGAGTCTTGCTCTGTGGCCCAGGCTGGAGTGCAATGGCGCGATATTGGCTCACTGCAAGCTCTGCCTCCCAGGTTCACACCATTCTCCTGCCTCAGCCTCCCAAGTAGCTGGGACTACAAGCACCTGCCACCATGCCCGGCTAATTTTTTTTGTATTTTTAGTAGAGATGGGGTTTCACCGTGTTAGCCAGGATGGTCTCGATCTCCTGACCTCGTGATCCACCCGCCTCGGCCTGCCAAAGTGCTGGGATTACGAGCATGAGCTACTGTGCCTGGCCACCAGTGACAGATTATTATTCAAACATTGATGAGAGTAAAACACTGCAAATTTACCGAATGCAGATTTATAACCGTAATAAATGTTGAACTGAAGATTAAAAAGTCCAATGGGGGGTATAATATAGAACAGTTCATTAATGAAATATTACAATTTTTATTTTTTCCTGTTTTCTTGGACATAAAAGTTGTCTAGTATTGTTTAAACTAACCATACCTCATCTATTCAAGACACTCTAATTTTTTTTTTGTTAGTAAGATGACCTCCTTAAAAGAAGATGTGCGGCGCAGTGCCATGCTGTGTATTCTCACAGTCCCTGCTGCAATGACCAGTCATGACCTTATGAAGTTTGTTGCCCCATTTAACGAAGTAATTGAACAAATGAAAATTATCAGAGACTCTACTCCCAACCAATATATGGTGCTGATAAAGTTTCGTGCACAGGTAAAAGTTATTAAATTTATTAAAAATCTCTTTGCCACAGAAACTGTGGTATTCAAACTGTATGATAGCTGTGTGTGATTTACAACATTTTGCACTTAAGATTCTTGAGATGTCTTCTAAGATATAATTGTAATTCTAGATGTATTTCTAAATTCATTAGCAGAAATACAATTATAACGTATACACTTTTTTTTTTTTCGGTAGAGATGAGATCTTGCTGTGTTTTCCAGGCTACTCTTGGCCTCAAGCAATCCTCCTGCCTTGGCCTCCCAAAGTGCTAGGATTACAGATGCTCTGAGCCACTGCACCTGGCCTCATGCCCATGATTTTTTATAGATCAGATTGAGTATGAAGTTTAGGGTTTTGCAAGGAGGCAGAGGTTGCAGAAAGCTGACATCACACCACTGCACTCCAGCCTGGGTGGCAAGAGTGAGACTCCGTCTCAAAAAAAAAAAAAAAAAAAATCTAGTGTGTTTTTTTGTTTGTTTCTTTTTGAGACGAATTCTCGCTCTGTCGCCCAGGCTGGAGTGCAGTGGTGTGGTATCGGCTCACTGCAACCTCCGCCTCCCGGGTTCAAGCGATTTTCCTGCCTCAACCTCCTGAGTAGCTGGGACTACAGGCATGCACCACCATGCCTGGCTAATTTTTGTATTTTTAGTGCAGACAGAGTTTCACTATGTTGGCCAGGCTGGTCTCGAACTCCTGACCTTGTGATCCACCCGCCTCAGTCTCCCAAAGTGCTAGGATTACAGGCGTGAGCCATCATGCCCGGCCTGTTTGTTTTTTTAAACAAGCGGTAACTATTCCAGAAAAGCGGTGGTTCCCAGACTTTTTGAAGTTAACACCATCTTATTATTTTTCCATTACCCCCACTTCTTTCATTTTTTTTTTTTTTTTTTTTGAGACGGAGTTTCACTCTTGTTGCCCAGGCTGGAGTGCAATGGCACGATCTCAGCTCACAGCAACCTCCACCTCCTGGGTTCAAGCCATTCTGCCTCAGCCTCCGGAGTAGCTGGGATTATAGGCATGCACCACCATGCCTGGCTAATTTTGTATTTTCAGTAGAGGCGGAGTTTCTCCATGTTGGTCAGGCTGGTCTCAAACTCTGGACCTCAGGTGATCTGCCCGCCCCAGCCTCCCAAAGTGCTGGGATTACAGGCGTGAGCGACTGCACCCGGCCTCATTCTCTTTTTAGTGGGGGAAGAGTGTACCTGTTCTGTGATCTCCAGAGAGAAGCTTTAGTGTGGAGTTCTGTCTGCAAGAGAGTACACAGTTATTATGTTTTCTGTTTACAAAGTACCCCATCATTTAGGGAGACATTTAAAAGGTTTCAATTATCCTTTGGATTTAAAGTTTACAAGTTGACATTAAGAACAGAAAAGCACTTGAATAGCTCCTTTCACTGTCCATCAGAAAGCCTTCCAAGGGTGCCAAGGAGCTTTGCAAACCATGGGAAAATCGTGCCTTAAGCCATTTCAGTCTGGTAGCACATGTAATAATAAGGATAATGATGATAATATCCAACGTTTATCGATGGCTTCTGTATCACTCACTGTGCTAAGTGTTCAATACACTTTGTCTCATTTAATCCTCACTACAATCCCTTGCGGAAACTGTGTTGTTATCTTTGTTTTACAGATGAGGAGGGTGACTGCAGAGGGAGATACATGGTTTGCCCAAGGTTACATAGCTAGACATAAATGACAAGCAAGAGTGTGGCACCCTCACTTTTAATTCCAGGGACGCGTTCCTCTTCTAGTAGGAGTGGGATGAAGGTGTGGGGAAGGGAGGCGGTTGTTTGTGAGACATTCTATGACAGCAGTATTGTTACAGTTTCTACTTAACAACTAGGGCAATAAGCAAGTAACAAAGGAAAAGACCCAGAAATAGATTGGGAAAAAAATGTTGAAGAGCACTCAGGCTTTTGAAATAGTCTGAAGTCGTATAAATCCACCACAGTCACCTGTTTAATAAACCCACACAGTTCCCTATAACAAGTACTGCCCTTCATAATGTGCAGGTAGTACTGTGGATATTTACTGTGAATGAATTTTCCTTGTACATCTGCACTATCCTTCCCCTTGTGTCTTTTGATCAAGTGAAGGTTGCTCAAGTTGACATGTTTTTCTGAGACTGCGAAACAGGTTGCTGCATGCTCTTCCCCATGGGGCTAGAACCCTTTATCTTGGTATCATGAGTTGTATTATTTATTGCTAACTCTGGGTCTTAGGGGCTAATCCCTATCATCCTAACAGGGATTTTCTAATACCTAATAATACCCTCTTGGTGTAAGACTGGAAGTTAAACTAATATCGGCTGTAGTGAGAATAATAGGCTCAGTAGCTACCAACTCTGAAGCACTTACTAGAGACCGGACCCTGTGCCAAGTGCTTTCCATGCATTGTCTCCTTGAATCCTCTCAACGATGCCATGTTGGCCAGGTGCAGTGCCTCATGCCTTTAATCCCAGCACTTTGGGAGAGACCAAGGTGGGCGGAACACTTGAGGGCAGTGGTTTGAGACCAGCCTGGCCAACATGGTAAAAGCTTATGTCTACTAAAAATATAAAACTTAGCTGGATGTGGTGGCGCACGCCTGTAATCTCAGCCACTTGAAAGGCTGAGGCAGGAGAAACTATTGAACCTGGGATGTGGAGGTTGCAGTGAGTCAAGATCACACCACTGTACTCCAGCCTGGGCAACAGAGCGAGACTCTGTCTCAAAAAAAAAAATGCCATGTATTTTACAGTTGAGGAAACAGGCACAGATAAGTCACTTGCCTGCAGCCAAACAGCTAGTAGGTGTCAGAGTTAGGGTTCAAACCTAGGCAGCCTGACTCCATAGCCTGGGCACCTAACTATGTTTTTATTCTTTTCCTCACCACAGATTTTTAAATAAGGACTTATAAGCCTTCTCTTTATCTTTGGTAATTTTTGAATTTCTGTTGGCCTTAGCTTTAGCTGAAAGAGTTGTGAGGCCAGGTGTGGTGGCTCATGTCTGTAATCCCAACACCTTGGGAGGCCAAGACAGGAGTATTGCTTAAGGCCAGGGGTTCAAGACCAGCCTGGGCAACATGGCAAGATCCTGTTTCTTAAAAATTTTTTTTAAAAGATCAAAAAAAAAGGGGGGGTGTGCTTACCAATTTGTAGTGTGACCCTTAGGAAACTTGGTCTTTGGGTAGAGAATTTACAGTTCTTCAGGACATAGGAAAAGCAGAAGGAAGTTCAATTTTGTTGTTCTTGGGGGCAGAAAAGGACAGATGACCACTTAATAGAGTATGTTGGCTTTTTTCACCTGCGTGCTTAGTTACCACAGCCTTAGCAGACACCTCCTTGGAGAAGTAGAGGTATGTTCTCAACACTGTAGTTGATTCCTGTGACAGCGAAGGAACTTGATCATAATGGATTTGTCTTTTTCTGAGTTAATCCTCAGAAGAGAACAATAAAACCAAAGGACTAGAGGGAAACAAAAGCCAGGTTTATTTAAAGTTTTGGGTCCACACAATGCAAACATTTTCAATAAAAGCTGTTTCTGCAATGTTCTTGGCAGTTAGCTTCAGGCTTTTGTTTAGTGCATTTAGATGGTGAGTTGAAGTAGGAACCATGTGTAGTTTGTTCCCTACTCTCTACCTAGTACATAGCACAGGGCCTGGCACATACTAGATGCTCAGAAAATATGTGAACAGGTGAAGGTGCATTTCTAATACCAAGATTTTAAAGAAGAGATCAATATGTTAATTGGGAAATCTCAGCTGTTTAGTGATGTTGTCATTACAAAAAAGTACTTTTTCTTTTTACTTTTTTCATTTCTGCCACAATCATCCTAGTGTAGGCCACCATGACAACTCACCTACATGCTTCTTCTCCTTTTTTATTTTATTTTATTTTTTTTGGAGACAAGGTCTCACTCTGCTGCACAGGCTGGACTGCAGTGGCACGATCTCGGCTCACTGCAGCTTTCACCTCCTGGGCTCAAGCTATCCTCCCACCTCAGCCTCCCAAATAGCTGGGACTACAGGCTTCCACCCCCATGCCCGGCTAATTTTTGTATTTTTTGTACAGATGGGGTTTCGCCACGTTGCCCAGGCTGGTCTCAAACTCCTGGGCTCAGGTAGCAGAAAGGAATAATTCATTGAATGGTTTTGGTCACATGCCTTATCCTTTCCTGTAGAGGAGGCTGGTCGTTTAGTGAGCATTTGCAGAGCTCTAGACCCCAAGAGGGCTCTACCAGCCACTGGTGGTGCCTGAGGCTCTGAAGAGGTGAGAGAAGGCCCTGACTTTCAGGCAGTCCGTTTTCTCCTGGTGAATCCATGTGCTGACTTTGCTGCTTACTTAGCCAAAAGCATTTCAAGAAACCGTTGCTCCTGAAGAATGGGGGAAGCCATATTAGGTTGTAACCTCTTAGTATTAAAGAGGCTTCTTCTCCAACAGCTGGCTTTAAACATTTTCAAATTGTAATGCACTATGCTCAATACACGGATTATTTTCTTAAGTAAAGCCTCTCCACCCCGACCTGCTGCCACTCTGCCCCTCCAAAATAAAAGTATATTCAGAATTGATCATCCTTCCTCAGCTGCTTAGCTCACTTGGTCATGTTAAGAAAGCATAAGTAGCCAGGCGCGGTGGCTCACGCCTGTAATCCTAACACTTTGGGAGACCGAGGTGGGTGGATTGCCAGAGCTCAGGAGTTCGAGACGAGCCTGGGTAACTTGGTGAAACCCTGTGTCTACTAAAATACAAAAAATTAGCTGGGTGTGGTGGCGTATGCCTATAATCACAGCTACACAGGAGACTGAGACAGGAGAATTGCTTGAACCTGGGAGGCAGAGGTTGCAGTGAGCTGACGTCATGCCATTGCTCTCCAGCCTGGGTGACAAAGCGAGACACCATCTCAAAAAAAAAAGGTGGGGGGGAAGCATAAGTAATCAAGAATTCACAATTACCTCATTAGAGGGGAATTAAAAGCTATCGAGAAGCTTACAGTGTCTGTGAGATTCAGAACCTTGTGAGGGTGGACAGGCAGGAATATTTTTGCCTGGTGCAGCCCTGAATCTCTTCCTTAAGGTTGACGATGCTGCATTTCCTGTTGCAGAATTCCCAGAAGCAGCCTGTCAATGTTGGTAGGGCCAAAGCACATAACTTTCTGTGTTTGGATTAATGCCCGTATGGGAATAAAATCCAGACAAGCCTTGGCCTCCCCGCTTGCCTTAAAAAATTGGCTGAGTTTAAAAACTGGAATCGTCTCCATTGCTTGCTACTAAGGCTAGACTAGAAGGTTCTGTTTACCTGTGTCCATTTCATAGACGCACATGTGCCTTTGCAGCTTTGCCTCAAAGGGACTGTTTGTCCACATTTCACCCATTTTCTAACGCTAGCAAATGAGACTGTTAGTATTTTAAAGGCTGGTTCATCTTGGGCCCCTTGACCTTGACCAAGAGCTTTGCTTTTGGTATTGGACACTAGGTGGCGGTTTAAGACCTCCTGATGGGACCCATTAGATGGGATCTAACTATCATATATTATTATTATTATTATTTGGTTTATTAAAGAGTAGTTGGTTTTTCATCTCATACCAGTTCCCCTGGTCTTTTATTTTTTTCTAACATAAGTGCTGACATTTTCTTTCTTTTTTTTTTTTTTTTTCTTTTTGAGATGAAGTTTCGCTCTTGTTGCCCAGGCTAGAGTACAATGGCCCGATCTCAGCTCATCGCAACCTCTGCATCCTGGGTGCAAGCGATTCTCCTGCCTCAGCCTCCCGAGTAGCTGGGATTATAGGCGTGGGCCACCAGGCCCGGCTAATTTTGTATTTTTAGTAGAGACAGGGTTTCTCCATGTTGGTCAGGCTGGTCTCAAACTCCTCACCTTAGGCGATCCGCCCGCCTCGGCCTCCCAAAGCGCTGGGATTACAGGCGTGAGCCACCACGCCCAGCCCAATGCTGACATTTCCTTAAAGAGTTCTTTCATAACAAGCGTCAGTTATTATTTGGTTCCAGGCTTTGCAGAAATGAGTGTTTACTTTCAGCTGCACAAGTGATGACTAGAGGGAAAAAAAACTGCTATTAAGGGAAATGTTGACTGTTGCTGGTTGAATATGAAAATTGTACCAGCTTTCAGCTTGTTGCACTTCAGTACCTTCTGCCAGTTCAGGTAAAAACTCTGTTGTAGCCCAGGAAATACTGTAAACATGGAATATTGACTTACAGAGTGTGATTAGCCTACCAATCAGCTTCAGTAGATGTGACTTTTGGTGGTTGCTCTCTCTCCTAAGTATAAATTTTAAAAGCTGATGAGAATGAATAAAGCCATGCATATTGAATATAAAGCAGATTTTCAGGGTATCTGTCTTAATTTTTTTCCTTTTCCCCATTGGTGTACATAGGCTGATGCGGATAGTTTTTATATGACATGCAATGGCCGCCAGTTCAACTCAATAGAAGATGACGTTTGCCAGCTAGTGTATGTGGAAAGAGCTGAAGTGCTCAAATCTGAAGATGTAAGTGTGAATTGTTCCTATATTTAATTAAAATATATCAGATTGGTGTAAAATTGAATGCTAAGGTATCTGTGAAATACCCAGAATAGGCCAGTCCATAGACACAGAAAGTAGACTGGTGGTTATCAGGGCAGGAAGAGACGAATGGGGAGTGCCTGCTAACAGGATACAGGCTTTCTTCTGGAAGTGATGGACGTGTTCTAGAATTAGATAGTGATGACAGTTGCACAACCTTGTGAATATACTACAAGCCAATGAACTGTATACTTTAAAATAGAGAATTTTATTGAATATCTCATTTTCTAAAATTTCAAAAAACGTAAAAAAAAAGAAAAAAGATACTGCATTGTTGAAATTGAGTGTTTATCAATTCTAGATCAACGAAGCCTGGAGCTGAAAATAAATGTTTTTGTTTTCAATATTAACTCCTAATTCTTGTTTCTGCCTTTTATTTTTGAGACAGGGTCTCGCTGTGTCACCTAGGCTGGAGCACAGTGGTGTGACCTTGGCTCACTGCAGCCTCTGTCTCTCCAGTTCAAGCATCTGCTAGCCTCAGCCTCCTGGGTAGCTGGGACTACAAGTGTGTACCACCACGCCTGGCTAATTTTTTAAATTTGTTTTAGAGACAAGATCACCCTGGCTGGGCGCGGTGGTTCATGCCTATAATCCCAGCTCTTTGGGAGGCTGAGGTGACGGATCGCTTGAGCACAGGAGTTGGGAGGCCGAGGTGATGGATTGCTTGAGTGTAGGAATTCGAGACCAGGCTGGGCAACATGACGAAACCCTGTCTCTACAAAAAATACAAAAATTAGCCAGGTGTGATGCTGAGCACCTTTGGTCCCAGCTACTCAGGACCCTGAAGCAGGAAGATCACCTGAGTCGGGGGAGGTCCAGGCTATAGTGAGCCGTGATCTTGCCATTGCACTCTAGCCTGGGCAACAGTGAGACCCTGTCTCAAAAAAAAAAAAAAAAAAAAAAAGTCTCTCTGTTACCCAGACTGTTCTTGAACTCCTCAGCTCAAGCATTTTTCCCACCATGGCCTTCCAAAGTGCTGGGATTACAAGTGTGAGCGACTGTGCCTGGCCTCTTGATTCCGTTTTGTTTTGTTTTGGAGACAGAGTGTCACTCTGTTGCCCAGGCTGGAGTGCAGTGGCACTCTCTTGGCTCACTGCAACCTCCACCTCCCAGGTTCAAGCGATTCTTGTGCCTCACCCTCCTGAGTAGCTGGGATTACAGGCATACGCCACTATGCCAGGCTAATTTTTTTATTTTTAGTGGAGATGGGGTTTCACCACACTGGCCAGGCTAGTCTCGAACTCCTGGCCTCAAGTGATCTGCCCACCTTGGCCTCCCAAAGTGCTGGGATTATAAGCATGAGCCACTGTGCATGGCGTTGATTCTGTTTTGATAGCAATTTGTGATGGCTCTGATCTTTCACTCCCATGGGAACCTTTCCTATATTATGTGGTCACTGGAATCATTTTGTAAAGTAGCAATACAGCTCTTTATTTTAAGATATATTTTAAGATTAAGATTTCTTTTTCCTTTCTTTTTTTTTTGGAGACATGAGTCTCACTCTGTCACCCAGGCTGGAGTATAGTGGCGTGATCTTGGCTCACTATAACCTCCACCTCCCAGGTTCAGGCAATTCTCGTGCCTCAGAATCCCAAGTGGCTAGGACTATAGGCATGCGCCATCACTCCCGGCTACTTTTTGTATTTTTAGTAGAGATGGGGTTTTGCCATGTTGGCCAGGCTGGTCTCAAACTTCTGATCTCAGGTGATCGGCCCACTTTGGCCTCCCAAAGTGTTAGGATTACAGGCATGAGCCACCGCGCCCGGCCAGATTTCTTTTATTTTAAATTAGACCTGGGCCAGATGCGATGTCTCATGCTTGTAATCCCAGCACTTTAGAAGGCCAAGGTGGGCGGATAACTTGAGGTCAGGAGTTTGAGACCAGCCTGGCCAACATGAGGAAACTCATCTCTACTAAATATACAAAAATTAGCCTGGTGTCGTGGCAGATGCCTGTAGTCTCAGCTACTCCGGAGGCTGAGGCAGAATTGCTTAAACCCCGGAGGCCGAGGTTGCAGTGAGCTGAGATTGCGCCACTGCACTCTAGCCTGGGCAACAGAACAAGACTCCCATCTAAAAAACAAAATTAAAAAATTAAGTAGACCTGAAGGTCTTTTTACTTTGAGATCCGCTTGATGGAAGTTAGTTCTGAGTAGATTGTTTTAGCATTTGATTAGGTGAAATCAAAATTTGATAAGTGGGTGGCGGGGGAAAATGTTGGATGGGAGAGAAGAAGGCTGAAAAGTCTCAGCGAGCTGGAGCTGCCAGAGGACCTGAAGAAGAGGCAGAAAAACTTGTGAAAACTAAAACTGTTTCTTCCAGTAATGGAGGGGAAAGTTCCAGTCGCAGCATTGAGAAACGGTCAGATGAAGAAGAAGCTGCAGACCTCCCAACAAAGCCTACAGTGATCTCCAAGTTTGGATTTGCCTTAGTTGGATGACAAAGAAAGCATCAACAATATCCATCAAACTTGGATCAAATAAGCCAAAAGAAACTGTTCCAACTCTTGCTCCAAGCACTTTTTCAGGAGCAGCAGCTTTTAATGAAGATGAAGATAGTGAACCAGAGGAAATCTCCAGAAGCAAAGATGAAGATGAAGAATATTGGAAGGGATACACCAACATCAGCTGGACCAAACTCCTTCAATAAAAGAAAGCATGGGTTTTTTGATAACCAGAAGCTATGGGAGCGAAATATAAAATCTTATGTTGGAAATGTCAATGACCAAGACAATTAAACGATGTTTTGAAATTGGGGTGTGGGGTGGGTGTAAACTTAAAAGGAACAGTTTCCTTTTTTAAAGAATGGTATAAGACTATTTTTGGAGCCACTTTTTTTTTCTCTTTCATTTTTTGTTTAAATATTGAGCTGTACACTAATAAGTTAGGGTTCAAAATTAGAGGTAATTTATGTTTTATATACAGATTTCAAGACATTTGCTAATTTTGTAGTTTCATGTGATTAGTTTCCAAAGGTTACAGATAATAAATCAGAAATGGTACCTTTTTAAGAATTGCATATATTTTTAGAGACAACTATTAACACATTAAGAGGGAAGCAAAGCCGGGCATGGTGGCTCACACCTGTAATCCCAGCACTTCGGGAGGCGAAGGCAGGCGGATCACCTGAGGTCAGGAGTTCAAGACCAACCTGACCAACATGAAGAAACCCCGTCTCTACTAAAAATACAAAATTAGCCAGGCATGGTGGCGTATGCCTGTAATCCTAGCTACTCAGGAGGCTGAGGTAGAATCACTTGAACCCAGGAGGCAGAGGTTGCGGTGAGCCAAGATCACACCATTGCACTCCAGCCTGGGCAACAAGAGCGAAACTCCGTCTCAAAAAAAAAAAAAAGAGAGAGAAGCAAATAGTTATTGTCTGTTTAAAACTGTAAGCAGTTACTCTCTTAACTCCCTTATTACCTAAACTTGTCTGGCTCCCAGGAACAGCCTTCTAGAGACAGGGAGTATTGGGAGGAAAACGTTACTTAACTATTGACTGAACGTAAATTTAGATAAAATTAAAATGCAGCTTTTTTCCTTATAGGCATTTGTTTTGTTTCAAGTCATCATAAAGTAGGTATTGCATTGCTATCAGTGGATACAGATGCTTAGCTCTTAAAAGAATTTTTTTTGGCCAGACGCAGTGGCTCACGCCTGTAATCCCAGCACTTTGGGAGGTTGAGGGTGGATCACGAGGTCAGGAGATCGAGACCATCTTGGTTAACATGGTGAAAACCCATCTCTACTAAAAATACAAAAAATTAGCTAGGCGTTGTGGTGGGCACCTGTAGTCCCAGCTACTCGGGAGGCTGAGGCAGGAGAATGGCGTGAACCCGGGAGGCGGAGCTTGCAGTGAGCCGAGATTGTGCCACTGCACTCCAGCCTGGGCGACAGAGCGAGACTCTGTCTCAAAAAAAACAAATTAAAAAAAAAAAAAAAGAATTCTTTTTAATGTAAACTGTTGAATATTTGAAATAGCCCACTTCACCTTAATGGGTCTTGTGTATCTTCATTTGTCTTCAAAGAAAAACCATTTGCTACCAAAGTAAATCAGTATTTCGAATGTGCTTCTCTTGTTTTTTGTTTATTAGCTAGTTGCTGTAAGCATTTCCACCAGAACTTGAGCCAAATCATAAGGAAGCTGTTTCTTTTAAAATACAAACCACCACCAAAAAATTAAATGTACATATTAAGCATTTGACTATTTTTATTTTTTTAAAAAGTATAAACACCAAAAAAAAAAAAATTAACATTGTATGAAGATGGAAAACAAGAAGATACACTTTCTGTAACTTTGTCTGAGGATTTAAATTACTAACTTGTGAATCCAATTTAAATTGAACTTAACTACTGGCTTCCCCCACACCCCGCCCCGACCCAGACGGAGTCTTGCTCTGTCGCCCAGGCTGGAGTGCATTGGAGCAGTCTCGGCTCACTGCAGCCTATGCCTCCCAGGTTCAAGTGATTCTCCTGCCTCAGCCTCCTGAGTAGCTGGGATTACAGGTATGCACCACCATGCCCAGCTAATTTTTGTGTTCTTAGTAGAGATGGGGTTTCACCACGTTGGCCAGGCTGGTCTCAAACTCTTGACCTCGTGATCCGCCTGCCTTGGCCTCCCAAAGTGCTGGGATTACGGGTGTGAGCCACCGTGCCAGCCCCAGCTTTCTTACTAGTAAAATTACATGGTTGATTTTAAATGTATACATGTTGACCAATGGCCTCTCAAAAAGCACATTTTAGATACTGGAGTAGAAGGAAAGAAAATGCATCTTCAAACATTTTTTTGGAATCTCACCACATATACTTTGTGAGATTTGTATATTGTAGGGTGTTAGTTTTTGTATTTTTGTATTGTGTATGAGCTTTTTTTTTTTTTTTTTTTTTTTGAGACGGAGTTTCACTCTGTCTCCCAGGCTGGAGTGCAGTGGTGTGATCTCAGCTCACTGCATCCTCTACCTCCTGGGTTCAAGAAATTCTCTGCCTCATCCTCCCAAGTAACTGGGATTACAGGCACCCACGACCACACCCGGCTAATTTTTTGTGTTTTTAGTGGAGACAGGGTTTCACCCTCTTGGCCAGGCTGATCTTGAACTCCTGACCTTGTGATCCACCCGCCTCGGCCTCCCAAAGTGCTGGACTTAACAGGCGTGAGCCACCCCGCCCGGCATCTTTTTTAATGTGACAGTTAAACACATCTTTAAAAGCATAGTCACAGACAAAAGAAGCATACAGTATAAACATTTCCTTGAAAACTCCTACAATATTATATTTGGAGGCAGCTTCAGACTGTTTTATTGGTGGTAACTGCTCGCTGAGCTCTTTTAGTTGGTAATAACTCCAGAGAAGCATCCTGTGTATATTCCTAACACTTGTTCACTAGCATTTAAGTTTAGAATGAGCCCCAAGTAAAACAATGGAAATGTATATAGAACTCTTAGTTCTTACATGATTTAATTATATCAAAATACATGAATTTAACTTACTTTAATGTAGGCAAACTATCAATTTTTGTCCATTTTCCTGTTTGTTAACATACCTCTCCTAGATATTCTTTTCTTGACCCAAATGAAATATTAACCTAAGGTCAAGCTGGGAGAGAGAAACAACTGAGATGAATGTCTTTACTAAAATACCGATAAATTTGTCAAACTCAAAAAAAAATTGACGTGATAAAATTGGGCATCCTTTGTGCTGGCTGCTGCACGAGGCCTCAGTTTTAGAGATTCCTTTCTTAAATGAACGTGGCTTCTTGAGAGATTTCCTGTAAGTATCTACTCTTCAGGGACTGTAGGTTAATGTGCTTTTTCTCTGTCCATAAGTGTGTGCTCCCTGACCTTTGCCTAAGTAATTCTTTCTCGTCTTCTGGCTGGAAGCGTCAAGTCAAGCACTGTCTTAGGAATGCCTTTCCTGACCATCTAGACTGTCATGCCCCCTAATTCACACCCTGTTGTGGCTTCCTGTACTGTTTGCTTTTTAATTTGATTTTTGTCTCTCCCTCCACTAGATTCTAAACTCTGTGGGGGCAGGAGCTGACTGTTTTTTGGACTTAACGTATCTGTTTTTGCTCACCACTGTTCCACACCTAGAACAGTGTCTGTCTGCTGCACATAGCAGGGGCTCAATCTCTATCTGTACAATGAGGGAATAAAGAAAAATCAGTGTTGTTGGTGCTGTCATCACTGAGTAGAAAGTGTTAAGTTATAACTTACTCTATGGAAAAATCCTTCAGGTCCAGCTATTCTTTTGTTCCTTTGTGTTCTATTATAGTCGTAGACACTTAGAGCTTGAGCTAGGAGTCTGGTCACATTTGAGATTTATATGTTAAGGTTTTGACAGCAGTCTCCCTTCCTGGAATGTCAGTTCTGTAAGGGCAGAGATCTTTGTTTTGTTCACCGCTGTACTCCCAGTACCTGGCACAGTGCTGGAACACAGGAGGTACTCCATCCCTGTTTCTTGAATGAATGAATAAATGAATGAAAATATTACCAATTTAAATTACTTGCTTAGAGTAATGATATTGAGGATATCCTGCCAGGAGTCAAAAAAGCAACTAGAAAACTATTATTAAAAGAAGAAAGGCCTGGCACAGTGGCTCATGCCTGTAGTCCCAGCTACTGGGGAGCCTGAGGTGGGCAGATCTCTTGAGCCTGGGAGGTCAAGGCTGTAATGAGCCATGATTGCGCCACTGGGCTCCAGCGTGGGTGACAGAGAGCGAGACCCTGTCTCAGAAAAAAGAAGGAAAAATAAAGTATTGCTGGTAGATGAAGAGTGAGGCTTATGTGAGGTGTTTCCTGTAGGGCGCCAGCCTCCCAGTGATGGACCTGACTGAACTCCCCAAGTGCACGGTGTGTCTGGAGCGCATGGACGAGTCTGTGAATGGCATCCTCACAACGTTATGTAACCACAGCTTCCACAGCCAGTGTCTACAGCGCTGGGACGATACCACGTGAGTGCAGGGGCCGAACCCCTCTGTGTACAAGCCCATTGCAACCCTTCCAGAATTAAAAAGAGCCACCAGCAGAAATGAACCATTCCAAGTATTTGACTTTATTCAAGAGGTCCTTTTTCTCCTTCCCTTTCCTAAGTTCAGGGAATCGGCATTCTGAGACCAAGTCCTTTTTTAGTATGCTGATTCTGAACCCTTGTGGAATTCCCCAAAGCAGCATGAGTTGTTCTTTCCTTCCAAGAGCCAGAGAGTGAAAAAAAAAAGCAAAGCTTAGTTTGAGGCTCTCGTGCTGCAGTGAAATCTAGGTCTGGAATCTCATGTATCAGCTGCACTTGGTGTCTGCCATTCACTCTGGGCTTCTTATCAACTGGGCTACAGCAGCCTAATATTTTAGCTTTGCTGGGCTGTTGATGGCTTGGTGGCCAGTAGAAATAGCAGTTACTAAGTATGAGATCTACTCTACAGCCTCCTGATTCCCAACATACCAGGTCTTAGTCATAGGTGATGTTGCTACAGACAAAGAACAGGTAAGGCCTGTACCTTTTTTTTACCCCCTAAATCCAGGATGGTTGCTCCCTTTGCAGACTGCACTGTGGGACTTAACCAGAAAGGTGTATCAGATGCTGGCCTTCTGGATTTCCCAGTACAGAGGGGAACCCAGAAATGAAATCACACAAGTAAATAAATCACAGCCATAACCAGTGTTACAGAAGAGCAGTGTGCAGCATTGGGACTGAGAACTGGGGCCCTAATGAAGCCAGGACCACCTGAGAAGTGGCATCTCCAGGAGGGTAATTAGGAGTTAAGCCGGGTAAAGAGCAGAACCCAGAGAAGGCAGTGGGGGAAGGGGAAGATCATGTTCCCAAGCACAGAAGTGAGGAGGGGTGAAAGTCTACAGGAATCTCTGTCCACCCACAAGTGGCCTGGTGGCCGGAAGAAGAATATCAGCTTCACAGAGCGGGGGCCATGCCTGGCTTGCTCACTGCTGTGTCTCTCACACCTGGTGGGGGACGTGGCACACAGTGGTAGACACTGAGGAGCACATAAATAAACTGGGTCTCTGCAGCTTATCACTGCCCTGCTTATTTAGCTGGACAGGAGTCTTGCTCCAATTCCGTGGAGTCCTCAGTCAATTCTTAGGTATCATTTGGGAGTTTTCCAAGGAATTGTCCAGTTGCCTTGAACAAAGCCATACTGAGATATGTGCATTCCTTAAAGTGTTTACCTGTATCTTCAGTCCATCTGCTATACCAGTTAAGTTCTAGGCAATTCTTTGTTCCCCGCCACTCCAGTTTTACTTTTTTTTTGAGACAGGGTCTTGCTCTGTCACCCGTGTTGGAGTGCAGTGGTATGATCACAGCTCACTGCCTCCTCAAACTCCTGGGCTCAAGTGATCCTCTCGCCTCAGCTTCCCAAGTAGCTGGGACTACAGGTGTGCACCATCTCACCCAGCTAATTGTTTTTTTTGTTTGTTTTGTAGAGATGGGGTCTCGCTATGTTGTCTAGGCTGGTCTTGAACTCCTGAGCTGAAGCAGTGTTCCTGCCTTGGCCTCGCAAAGTGCTGGGATTGTAGGCATGAGCCACGATACCCATCCCCAGTATTCCTTTTGATATAAATTAACTGTTACAGAACCATAGCATTTTAAAGTTGGAAGTTTCCTCAGGGACCATTTTTTCCAACAACCTCATTTTATACAGGAGGAGGACACAGGCCCAAAGATAAGAATTTGCAAGCTCAAAGTGTCATGGCCAGAGAATGCCAGAACTGGGACTAGAATTCAACCTGTCATATGGGATGTAAGACATGCCATTTGCCCTCAGAATCATGCAGTTCATTTAATGAGTTTTGAGCCTTGGTACATGCATAGAACTGTGAGAGATGCTGAGACAGAGGAAGCAAATTCAGGTCCTCTTTGGGGTGGTTTGGTCTAAGAGAGTTTACACTTGGACATAAACACATGTGGTTCAGGGTGGAGATTGGAAGAGAGAATGATGGCATCCCCAACCAGGGGTACTCAGGAAGGGCTGCAGTAGGAGGCAGTGTTGGTCTTTTTGATAGAGATGTCAGAGAAGGCTTTGGGAAGAGCTCCCAAAGATCTCATCAGGAAAATAGGATAAAATAATTTTTTGCAGAGAAAGGCAGGAAGAATTTAATAAACTGTTAATTATTATTATTATTATTTTTTGAGATGGAGTCTCACTCTGTCACCCAGGCTGGAGTGCAGTAGCGTGATCTCGGCTCACTGCAACTTCCACCTCCCGGGTTCAAGCAGTCCTCGTGCCTCAGCCTCCCGAGTAGCTGGGACTACAGGCATGTACCACCACACCTGGCTAGTTTTATATTTTTAGTAGAGATGGGGTTTTGCCATGTTGGCCCAGCTGGTCTCGAACTGCTGACCTCAGGTGATCCACTCACCTCAGCCTCCCAGAGTGCTGGGATTATGGGCGTCAGCCACTGTGCCTGGCCGATAAACTGTTGATTATTTTTTAGTAGACAGATGAGGTAGTATATCATAGAATGCTAATTGTTTGTTTACAAGTTTATTCTTGTAATTTTTTTTTCTTTTCAAGATCAAATTTACATTTCAGAAAGATCGTTTTGATCATTTGGGCATAGTGTAGAGAATTAGATTTCAGAACCAGTTCTGAAATCTAATTCTGTTGTTTTTAGTTTTTTGTTTTTTTTTTTTTTTAGAAGGGCTTTTGCCACATTGGCCAGGGTAGACTTGGCTTCAAGCCATCCTCCTGCCTCGGCCTCTCAAAGTGCTGGGATTACAGATGTGAGCTACTGCACCTGGCCTGTTTTCTTATTCAACCACTTTCACAGCCACCACACAGACCGAAGGGATGAGACAAAGCCAATTTCTACTTTCTGCATTCTGCTTTCTGGCTACCATTTCTGTTCTTTCTTTGAGTTTGTCTTCTGTCTTCTCTTTTGATGCTAAAGGAAGAAGTGGACTAGATCCTTTCCTTTCTCTTACACAGATAGAGCTGTGTCATCTGTGACACAGTGTTCTTCCTGTTTATTCCATTTTCTTGGTTTTATTTACTTAGTTGGGTAACTGTTACTAGTTATAGCTTTTTTTTTTAGACGGAGTTTCGCTCTTGTTGCCCAGGCTGGAGTGCAATGGCGCAATCTCAGCTCACCACAACCTCTGCCTCCTGGGTTCAAGCGATTCTCCTGCCTCAGCCTCCCAAGTAGCTAGGATTACAGGCATGTGCTACCATGCCCTGCTAATTTTGTATTTTTAGTAGAGACAGGGTTTCTCCATATTGGTCAAGCTGGTCTTAAACTCCCGACCTTAGGTAATCCGCCCGCCTAGGTCTCCCAAAGTGCTGGGATTACAGGTGTGAGCCACCGCGCCTAGCCACTAGTTATATCTTGAGCATTGTTTCTTCCTGGTGCCAGTTCAGTCAGCCTCAGCTATAACCCACTTTCTGTCCTAGTTGCCCATCTAACAAAAATACTCATGACTAGTATTTAGTATTATTTTGTGTGGAGTATAATAGAAAACAGTTAATGGATTTTTTCAACATTGTTTTTATTGGCTTTTTGTAAATTGAGACATGAATGCCTGATAGAGCACTGGTATCTTCCACATGATGTTCACGGTGCAGTGAGATATCATGTGCATTTCAATAAGTACATTAACACCTTTGTGTTTAGCCAGGTGCGGTGGCTCATGCCTGTTATCCCAGTACTTTGGGAGGCCAGCATGGCCAATATGGTGAAACCCTATGCCCACTAAAAATACAAAAATTAGCTGGGCATGGGGGTGCATGCCTACAATCCCAGCTACTTGGGAGGCTGAGGCAGGAGAATCATTTGAACCTGGGTGGCAGAGGCTGCAGTGAGCTGAGATCGCGCCACTGCACTCTAGCCTGAGTGACAGAGCAGGACTCTGTCTCACAAAAAAAAAAAAAACCTTTTTTTTTTACTACAGATTTTAAATCCAATTCTTAGGAGCAACCTGGAGAAGAAAGGGTACTTTTTGAATGATTTAAATCTTTGGGAAATGGGGATAAGGCAGGTTGTTTGTTGGAGTAAAAATACATTATAGGCTGAGCACGGTGGCTGACGCCTGTAATCCCAGTACTTTGGGAGGTCAAGGCAGGCAGATCACCTGAGGTTGGGAGTTTGAGACAAGCCTGACCAACAGGGAGAAACCCCGTCTCTACTAAAAATACAAAATTAGCTGGGCGTGGTGGCGCATGCCTGTAGTCCCAGCTACTCAGGAGGCTGAGGCAGGAGAATTGCTTGAACCTAGGAGGCTGAGGTTGCAGTGAGCTGATACTATGCCGTTGCACTCCAGCCTGGGCAACAAAAGCTAAACTCTGTCTCAAAAAAAAAAAAAAAAACAAGCTGGGAGCTGTGGCTCACACCTGTAATCCAAGCACTTTGGGAGGCCAAGGCCAGTGGATCATGAAGTCAAGAGATCGAGACCATCCTGGCCAACATGGTGAAGCCCCGTCTCTACCAAAAATACAATAATTAGCTGGGTGTGGTGGTGCATGCCTGTAGTCCCAGCTACTCGGGAGGCTGAGGCAGGAGAATCGCTTGAACCTGGGAGGCAGAGGTTGCAGTGAATTGAGATCGCACCACTGCACTCCAGCCCAGGCAACAGAGCAAGACTCTGTCTCAAAAAAAAAAAAAAATTATAAATAATCAGACATGAAATGAAGTCCTAATTGTAACCTGTAAATACTTAGCTCTTTGATCATCTAAGCTTTAGACATAAGAGCGGAAAAGGACATGAGGCAGATCCCAATTTCTCTGTTCTCTGTTTTATCAAGATTTTGTATATTTTTATTTTGTATATTTTATTTTAAGTGATATCCTTAGTTATGATAAAAATAGCATATAAGAGGAGGAGGATATAAAATCCAGTGTTTGACTTTTGGGTTCTGTAACAGCTGTCTTTTATATTTAACCTGCACCATTATCTTTTGGTGTCCTGGATAGGTGTCCTGTTTGCCGGTACTGTCAAACGCCCGAGCCAGTAGAAGAAAATAAGTGTTTTGAGTGTGGTGTTCAGGAAGTAAGTAATGGGTGATGGAAAAGAACAAAGAATGCAGCTTTAATTGTCATGAGTTTTCTTCTGCCTGGTATGACTTAAGTTCTTTATTTTTAATTTATTTTTTATTTTTTATTTTAAGAGACAGGGCTTACTGTGTTGCCCAGGCTGGTCTCGAACTCCTGGCCTCGAGCGGTCCTTCCACTTCAGCCACCCATAGTGCTGGGATTGCAAGTGTGAGCCACTGCACCCAGCCTAAATTCTTTAAAATTTTTTTTCTTTTTGTCTAGGGTTGGGCAAGACATATGAATACACAAATTATGTTACTCCTGAGCTAAATTTATTCCTTTTTTCTTTGCACTTTTGAAAGGCTTAGACTTTTACTGATGAATTGTGAATTTTTTTCTTGCTGTTCACATAGTGCTCCTTAGAAATCAGCAAAAAAAAAATGACCCATAAAAGCATCCTTGATTGTTGGGTTTTAAACATACATTTAATCACTCAGGCTCCTGTAGAAACAGTTTTTTCTTTTTCTTTTTCTTTTTTTTTTGAGACAGGGTATCATTCTGTTACCCAGGCTGGAGTGCAGTGGCATGATCATAGTTCACTGTAACCTCAAATACCTGGGCTCAAGCCTTCCTCCCATCTCATCTTCCCAAGCAGCTGGGACCACAGGTGCATGCCACCATGGCCTAGTAGGTTTTGTTTTGTTTTGTTTTTGTTTTTTCTAAAAAATTTTGTTTTTGTTTTTTCTACAAAAAAAACATTTTGTAGAGTTGGGGTCTTGCTATGTTGCCCAAGCTGGTCTTAAACTCCTAGGCTCAAGCGATACTCCTGCCTCAGCCTCCCAAAATGCTGGGATTACAGGTGTGAGCCACTGTGCCCAACCAACAATTCTGTCTTCTAGTGTCTCAGGTTCCTTCCCACTCTGAGTGAGCTGGATCGATTATTTGTTTGTTTGTTTGTTTTAAGACAGAGTCTTGTTCTTATCACCCAGGCTGGAGTGCAGTGGCACGATTTCGGGTCACTGCAACCTCCACCTCCTGGGTTCAAGCGATTCTCTTGCCTCAGCCTCCTGAGTAGCTGGGATTACAGGCAGCTGCCACCACGCCCAGCTAATATTTGTATTTTTAGTAGAGATGGGGTTTCATCATGTTGGCCAGGCTGGTCTCGAACTCCTGACCTCAGGTGATCCATCTGCCTCGGCCTCCGAGCCATCGCGCCCAGCCAGATCATTTATTTTTATTTAACTAATTAAGATCTTACCTCTTCCGGCAGAATCTTTGGATTTGTTTAATATGCGGCCACATAGGATGTGGACGGTATGTCAGTCGACATGCTTATAAGCACTTTGAGGAAACGCAGCACACGTATGCCATGCAGCTTACCAACCATCGAGTCTGGGACTATGCTGGAGGTGAATACCACTCTCTTTTCTAATTTGGACTCATTCTGTGTGGAAACTTTGCCTTCACAACGCCTTCACTTTCCCTCCCAGCTTGAAATGTCATCTTTTGACAGCTGTTGCAAACCCAAATTCTCAGTTTCCCTGAGGGCACTATTTTTCTAGGAATGTCTTGAATCACACATTATAAAGGGAGTTAATACTTCCATTCTTGCTTTCTCCCTCCCCTCTAAAATTCAAATGATTTGACACTTTTAAAGAAATATTGTAAGGCATTTAAATTAGATCTGAAAAAAAAATTTTGTCAGAGTTAAAAGTGTACAGAGACCCTTTTCATTCTAAAGAAACACACTTTTGTTGACTCTTTCTGTAGATAACTATGTTCATCGACTGGTTGCAAGTAAAACAGATGGAAAAATAGTACAGTATGAATGTGAGGGGGATACTTGCCAGGAAGAGAAAATAGATGCCTTACAGTTAGAGGTAAGAGATTTAATGAGTTATCACTCTATCTGTTTCTACTGCTCTTTACTATTCTAATTTGAAATATTTGTCATTTACCTGGATGTACATT
Organism: Homo sapiens; assembly: GCF_000001405.40. Taxonomy (NCBI): domain Eukaryota; kingdom Metazoa; phylum Chordata; class Mammalia; order Primates; family Hominidae; genus Homo; species Homo sapiens. The sequence continues at coordinate 111,658,644 of NC_000012.12, read as the reverse complement.
TTTTTTTTAAAGTTTGGTCATGGCCGGGCGCAGTGGCTTATGCCTGTAATCCCAACACTTTGGGAGGCTGAGGCAGGTGGATCACCTGAGTTCAGGAGTTCAAGACCAGCCTGGCTAACGTGAAACCCTGTTTCTACTAAAAATGCAAAAAATTAGCTGGGCATGGTGGCACACACCTGTAATCCCAGCTCCTCGGGAGGCTGAGGCAGGAGAATCGCTTGAACCCGGGAAGCAGAGAATCGCTTGAACCTGGGAAGCAGAGGTTGCAGTGAGCCGAGATCGGGTCATTGCACTCCAGCTTGGGCAACAAGAGCGAAACTCTGTCTCAAAAAAAAAAAAAATGTTTGGTCATTGCTGTGAGGTGTTATTAAAATATTTTTATTCTGTTTTTCTTCTTTGAAAGTCTAAATGTCAGCTGGGTGCAGTGGCTCACACCCCTGTAATCCCAGCACTTTGGGAGGCTGAGGCAGGCGAATCACCTGAGATCAGGAGTTCAAGACCAACCTGGCCAACATGGTGAAACCCTGTCCCTACTAAAATTAGCTGGGCGTGGTGGTTCATGTCTGTAATCCCAGCTACTTGGGAGGCTGAGGCACCAGAATTTCTTGAACCTGGGAGGCAGGGGTTGCAGTGAGCTGAGATTGTGCCACTGCATTCTAGCCTGGGTGACAGAGCAAGACCCTGTCTCAAAAAAAAAAAAAAAGTCTAAGTTTCACTGTGCCTTGTTACTTTCATTGTGATGTCTGTAGTTGTCTCAAGTTCAGTGTTAAGATTTGTTTTCCCGTAGCTACAGGCTAGAGTACAGTGGTGCAGTCTTGGCTCACTGCAACCTCTGCCTCCCGGGTTCAAGCGATTCTCCTGCCTCAGCCTTCCGAGTAGCTGGGACTACAGGTGTGTGCCACCATGCCCAGCTAATTTTTTGTATTTTTAGTAGAGACAAGGTTTCACTGTGTTAACCAGGGTGGTCTCGATCTCCTGACCTCGTGGTCCGCCTGCCTCAGCCTCCCAAAGTGCTGGGATTATAGGCATGAGCCACCGTACCCGGCCACGAGTCATGTTTTATATAAATTTCAAAAAATGTTGTTTTAGAAACATACCTTAACCTTAGGAGGAAGTGGACATTTGAAAACTTGCTCATTTCAAGACTCTTAAAGGTCTGATAGTAAAATGGCCTAAAATGAGTTTTATATCGTTATTAATAAATCATTGTATTAATAAAGATCAAACACTTTTAAGTATTTAGAATTAGTAAATCCTCCACATTAAGTATGTACATGCATTCTATTCATACAAGAAATACTGGCCGGGCACAGTGGCTCATGCCTGTAATCCTAGCACTTTGGGAGGCTGAGGTGGGTGGATCACCTGAGGTCAGGAGTTTGAGACCAGCCTGGCCAACATGGTGAAACCCCACTTCTACTAAAAATACAAAAATTAGTTGGGTGTGGTGGTGGGCGCCTGTAATCCCAGATACTTGGGAGGCTGAGGCAGGAGAATCGCTTGAACCTGGGAGGCGGAGGTTGCAGTGAGCCCAGATGGCGCCATTGCACTCCAGCCTGGGCGACAAGAGCGAAACTCCGTCTCCAAAAAGAAAGGAATATTTATTGGCCAGGCATGGTGGCTTATGCCTGTAATCCCACCACTTCAGGAGGGCAAGGCTTGATCGCTTGAGTTCAGGATTTTGAAACCAGCCTCGGCAACATAACAAGGCCTTGTCTCCACTAAAAATAAATTTTAAAAAAAATTATCCAGGTGTGGTGGCATGCACCTGTAGTTCCAGCTACTCAGGAGGCTGAGGCAGGAGGATCCCTTGAGCCCAAGAGGTTGAGGTTGCAGTGAGTCGTGATTGCACCACTGCATTCCAACCTGGGCAACAGAATGAGACCCAGTTTTAAACAAAAAAAAAAGAAAGAAAAAAGAAAAATCTTTGCTGTCAGCCACTGGTGCTAGTGCTGCAAACACAGTATTGAACAAACTCCCTGCTCTCATGGAGCTTAGGGTTCAGTAGCATAGGTGTTCTTCTCCTTGCCCTCTCTGTAGTCTGCAGACATGTTTATATCTCTTCTAGTCTTCTAGAATGGTTTTTCCAAAATGGAGATGTGACCTTGCCACTCCTTGGCCTTGGGTTCCCCATTGCCCATATTTGTCAATATTATAATACCCCAAAGCCTTCCACTGGTGCCATATCTCCTAACCTGGCACATTAGTGTTACAACAGCCTCATTAGTGTTACTCATTCATTTCTGAAGAGATTCTAATGTCCACAGCTCTGTCTTGGTCAAGTAGTTCTCTGGACTCGGATCTCTGTCTTTATCTGTTCTTCTTCTATCTGTCAGCACCCTCTCAAATCTCGCCTTCTCTCACATCTTACTGTCATACGCCATCTGTCCCTTCCCTGTGGTTACACAGCACTGTTCATTCATTCATGCAGTCATGCAGCAAACAATTCTCGACATCCACCATGTGCCAGGCACTGGAGATACAGCAGTAGAGATATAACCCTTGCTTTCAAAGAGTTCACAGTCCAGTCAGGGAGACAGGCAGGTAAACTGGTGATGAAGTGCTGCTGTCCTGAGTGCTGTTACTGATAGGCACAGTGCTATCAGTCAGGGGGTGCCTGACTCAAGTGCTGGTTGGGACAGGATGGGACAGGACTGCTTCATGGGGTCAGGGAGACAGGTAAGTTTATTTGAGTTATACATAGATTTAAAACCACTGTGGTTCTTCTTAAAGTCAGCTTGACCAGAATAAAGGTTTTTATAAGTACATTTATTCTGACTAGATTGTAAGCCCCAGGAAGACAGAAGCATAATGTCATTTGTGTCCCCTGGTCCAGTATATATTGAGTAGAGTAGAACCAGGGCGTAAATATACATTCTGTTGGTTAGTTTTAGTTTTCTGTGGATCATTAAATATCAGATTTTTAAATTGGATTTCAGAGGCTGACAACAGTGACTTACATTTTGGTCTTTATTCTCTATGTTTCTAGTATTCATATTTACTAACAAGCCAGCTGGAATCTCAGCGAATCTACTGGGAAAACAAGATAGTTCGGATAGAGAAGGACACAGCAGAGGAAGTAAGTCTGTTTGGTTTGGGTGACTGCGGAAATGACACATGGCAGGGCACTCTGATGGGGGGTGTGGAAGGCAGAGTACAGGGAAAGAGGAATCTTACCATCTTCCCTTCTCAGGCAGGTAATAGGTGGAGAACTGTTTTGCCACTAAAAAGAAACTTTGGATTTAAAGGCTTGACTGTTTTGATATTTTGGGGTCTTAGGGGGTTTTGTTTGCTTTTTTTTTTTTTTTTTAAACCTCAGTCTGGTTTTCTAGTGCCTTGTGAAGTTCCACTAAAAACATAGAAGTATCTACCTGAGGGTTTGTCATTTGAGTTAGGCACTTGGGAACCGCTGCCTTTGGGAGCTAAACATGAACTTCTAAGGCAATGAAATGGCGCAGAGCCTTTCTAAATGGAAGGAAATAAAATTGGGCAGAGATACTGGCACTTCATTATTCACCCTGAAGGTCTAGGGCAGCAGTTTTCAAATTTTAACAAAATAGTCCTTTAAAAAAGATGCCATTCACTACTTTAGCAAAATTAAAAAGTGGTATGATTTTGGTGGAAACTCAGATGGAAGGCCCAGAGCTCTGTCTCCAGTATGTGCAAGGAACCCTGTGACTTCCAAAGAAGGTAGTCTGAAAACTAGTAAGCATCTGTGTATAATTGTGTATAATTATGGCTCTAGGAACCTTTCTTTGGACCTAGGGACAGTGTTTGTAATTCAGTGATTCCCTTAGTATGAAATAAAATCTTGTAAAATTTCTCAATGATTACTTTAGTAACCTTGTGAGTCCCCACCTATCCTTGGGCCTTCAGATAGGCAGTACAGAGCTGGGCTTGGGGCCCACCTCTGAGGTGGCTAGGAATATCCTGGAGCTTAGCAGGCAGGGCCATGGGCCCCAGTTTCTGGATATGCCGTAAGTGGGCAAAATCAAGGTCTGTAAAAATTAATGCTTAACATCAGCTTTAGGCCAGGTGTAGTGGCTCACACCTGTAATCCCAGCACTTTGGGAGGCCGAGGCAGGCAGATCACTTGAGGTCAGGAGTTTGAGGCCAGCCTGGCCAACATGGCGAAACCCAATCTCTACTGAAAATGCAGAAACTGGTCGGGCGTGGTGGCAGGCGCCTGTAATCCCAGCTACTCAGGAGGCTGAGGCAGGAGAATTGCTGGAGCCCAGGAGGCAGAGGTTGCAGTGAACCAAGATTGCACCACTGCACTCCAGCCTGAGCAACAGACCGAGACTCTGTCTCAAAAAAAAAAAAAAAAGTCAGTTTTAAAATGATCTGCAGTTAAAAGTTATTGATGAACTTCTTACAAGAGCCTTCTAATCAATGCATGTGCCCTTCCAGTGGCACTCAAGGTCACTTGACTTTGCTAGTTCTGAATAGGCCTTGATTAGAGTATGTGCAGGGAGGACCACCTCCCAATGCTCTCGTTGGAGCAGAGCGCAGGTCGCTGCCGCGTACTGTGAAGTTGGCTCACGGGAAGTGCATTGGCAGCTCCACTGCAGCTGCACTCATGGGTTTTTCCATGGGATATACCAGTGTGACTACCTCAAGTGCTTCATCCAGACCCTTGAAGCTAAGCTCAGGATTCTCTCTGCCCTCTAGGATTGAAAAGCAAGTCAAGGGGCAGGAAAACGAAACACTGAAACTTATGTTTGCTTTTAGGTCAGGGTAAAATGGAAGCCAGAGCAGCTCTAAATAAAACGCTTGGGGTGCTTAAAAGGATGCTTTTGTTTTCTAGTAACAAATGTCGTTTATCCATAAGTTAATGGATGATGCAAGCCTTTTGTTCTGCCACGGTCCTCCTTTTGGCCAGTCCCTTGTCCGTTAGCACCCCCAGCAGTAGAACATGTTCAGGGAGAAACAGTAACCCGGACCCTGGGTTTCACTGACAGAGATTCTTGTTTGTGGGCCTTCTGTTGATGTGGAGGAGGGGTGTGGATCAAGGTTGAAATTCATTGTGGGCTTCAGTTATAAACACTGTTTCTTTCCCCCAGTGCCTTAGGTAGTGCCGTTATTATAGCATGTGAGCACAGCCTATTCTAGAAGATGAAGCTCACAGACATTCAAAGGTTCTTAGTTTTCATGGCCATGTATGAGGAACACATGGTAGGCAGAGGCAGTCATAAGGTGACCTCCTCTAAAAGTATATCTTTTCTTGTGGATGTCTAGCTCCATTTTAATCAGTATTTTTCCAGCTGTGGATTGTAAAATGAGTTTGGTGGACCACAACTAGCATTTTTATTAGATAAAATAGTGTAGATGTAAATATTAGGATGTAGTACAATTAATATTGTTTTGTGAAACTCATTTCACTTTTGTGTGTGTCATGGGTGTTTCTTACTGTGGGCTAATGATCAGAATTTTTCATTTGTTTTTTGAGATAAGATCTCACTCTGTTGCCCAGGCTAGAATGTAGTGGCACCATTACAGCTCACTGCAGCCTCAGGCTCAGCCTCTCATGCTCAAGCGATCCTCCCACCTCAGTCTCCCTAGTAGCTGGGACCACAGGAGGGTGCCACTGTGCCTGGCTGATTTAAAAAAAAAATTTTATTCAGATCGGGGGGTTGGCCGGGCACAGTGGATCACGCCTGTAATTCCCAGCACTTTGGGAGACCAAGGCGGGCGGATCATGAGGTCAAGAGATTGAGACCATCCTGGCTAACACGGTGAAATCCCATCTCTACTAAAAATACAAAAAATTAGCCAGGCTTGGTGGCACGTGCCTGTAGTCCCAGCTACTTAGGAGGCTGAGGCAAGAGAATCACTTGAACAGGGAGGCGGAAGTTGCAGTGAGCTGAGATCACGCCACTGCATTCCAGCCTGGGCAACAGAGCGAGACGCCATCTCAAAAAAAAAGAGAGAGAGATGGGGGAATCTTACTATGTTGCCCAGGCTGATCTCCAACTCCTGGGCTCAAGCAAACCTTCTGCCACGGCCCTCCCAGAGGGCTGGGATTACAGGCGTGAGCCATGGCACTGGACCAGAAATGTTTTAATAAGCACTAATTTAAATCGTTGTTAACATTTGTCTGTAGCAATATTAAGAACCTTTCTGGCCAGGCGCAGTGGCTAATGCCTGTAACCCCAACACTTTGGGAGGCCGAGGCAGGCAGATCACAAGGTGAGGAGATCTAGACCATCCTGGCTAACACAGAGAAACCCCGTCTGTACTAAAAATACAAAAAATTAGCTGGACGTGGTAGCGGGTGCCCATAGTCCCAGCTACTCAGGTGGCTGAGGCAGGAGAATGGCATGAACCCAGGAGGCGGAGTTTGCAGTGAGCCGAGATTGCACCACTGCACTCCAGCCTGGGCGACAGAGTGAGACTCCATCTCAAAAAACAAACCAACCAACCTTTGTAGGGTTACCTTTATATTTTCATCTTGATTTAAATGTGTTTGGCTTAAGTATCTTTACTGTCCAAGACATGTACAGTTTGGTTCCTTAGGATAGTAATTTCTGTCCTTTTCAACTTCCTTAAACTGACAGGAGTCAGTTTAGAAGAAAATTTCAAAAGGATCTAGTGCTCTGTTATTTTAAAATAATATTGAAGAGAAAATTAATACCTAACTAGAATTTGAGCGATTTTAAATCTATTTTGATTTTTATGACAGAGAAGTACATTTAGAAATCTCTCTTCCAGCCAGGCGTGGTGGCTTATGCCTGTAATCCTAGCACTTTGGGAGGCCGAGGCGGGCAGATCATGAGGTCAGGAGTTCAAGACCAGCTTGGCCAATATGGTGAAACCTCGTATCTACTAAAAATACAAAAATTAGCTGGGCGTGGTGGCATGCACCTGTAGTCCCAGCTGCTCAGGAGGCTGAGGCAGGAGAATTGCTTGAACCCGGGAGTTGGAGGTTGTAGTGAGCCAAGATAGCGCCATTGCACTCCAGCCTGGGTGACAGAACAAGACTCTGTCTCAAAAAAAAAAAAAAAAAAAAGAAAAGAAATCTTTCTTCCATGTTCTTCCAGTGGAGGTTGGCTATAAAGTTAATTTGAACAAAACATTTATTTTTATTGTATTGTATTGTATTTTTTTTGTAATGGTGTCTTGCTCTGTCTCCCAGGCTAGAGTGCAGTGGTGTGATCTTGGCTCACTGCAATCTCCACCTCCCTGGTTCAAGCCGCTCCCTGCCTCAGCCTCCTGAGTAGCTGGGATTACAGGCGCCTGCCACTGTGCCCGACTAATGTTTGTATTTTTAGTAGAGACGGGCTTTCGCCATCTTGGCCAGGCTGGTCTTGAACTCCTGACCTCGTGATCCACCCGTCTCGGCCTCCCAAAATGCCGGGATTACAGGCGTGAGCCATCATGCCCGGCCTATTATTATTATTATTATTATTATTATTATTAAAGCTAGTGCTATTAGAGACTTGCTAGGCAGGCTGTATGGAAAATGATTAAAAAGAAAGGTCTAGCTGATCCCTGGGCTGTATGACTTAAATTCTCAGCCACTTTCAGTTCCTGTTATATTGCCTTGTGGTTCACCCAGCCTCCTGACTTTGCCTTCCCACCAAATCTTTTGCTGGTGTCCTTAGACCAGTGGAGTTGAGGAAATTCCCAAGTTCGCAGATCTTCACACAGGAGTGGATCCAGTATCTACCTAGCCAGACTCCAACATACTCTGGGCTGGGATGGCTGCCGTCTGATATGTTATACATCAGAATTTTTTAATTCTCTTATGTTTTTAAGGCTGTGTAATATGAATTAGTCTATGTATATTGTTTTTATAAATAGACTCAAAAGAACATGGACTGCTTATACTCCATGTGGCTTCATGATACATGAAAAAAATATTGTGAATTGGAAAAAATAAACAACTAGAGTCAAGTGTCACAAGTTTCTTAGATTACCAATGTTTGTCTCCACAAAAAATACAAAAATTAGGTCAGGCGCAGTGGCTCATGCCTGTAATCCCAGCACTTTGGGAGGCCGAGGCAAGCCTCACTTGAGGTCAGGAGTTTGAGACCAGCCTGGCCAACGTGGCATCTCTACTAAAAAATAGAAAAATTAGGCCGGGCACGGTGGCTCACGCCTGTAATCCCAACATTTTGGGAGGCCGAGGCAGGTGGATCACCTGAGGTCAGGTGTTCGAGACCAGCCTGGCCAACATGATGAAACCCTGTCTCTACTAAAAATACAAAAATTAGCCGGGCGTGGTGGCAGGCACCTGTAGTCCCAGCTACTTGGGAGGCTGAGGCAGGATAATTGCTTGAACCCAAGAGCGGGAGGTTGCAGTGAGCCAAGATCATCCCACTGCACTCCAGCCTGGGCGACAGAGCGAGACTCTGGCTCAAAAAAAGAAAAAAAAAGATTTCCCGGCATTTTTAATCCTATTACAGAAATTCTTTCAAATGATTACCTCACCTTTTCTTTATTTTTTTCCCCTGCCTGGAAACTGCCATATCTCACCTTCTCTAATTTTGGTTTGTCAAAGTTATATACAGATAATTGGGGGGAAAAATATGATGTTGGTCCCAAAGAGCACACCACATTACCTTTGTGAAATGAATCTGATTTCTCTTTGCTCTTTCAGATTAACAACATGAAGACCAAGTTTAAAGAAACAATTGAGAAGTGTGATAATCTAGAGCACAAACTAAATGATCTCCTAAAAGAAAAGCAGTCTGTGGAAAGAAAGTAGGTATAATCGGTCTATTCTGTTGTAACAGGCTCTATAAACAGACAGTTTCTTTCATTCCTATGGAAACACCCTCATTTTCAAATATATGTATCACCAGGTTTTCAGGAGTCTCCCTATATATGGAACAGGCTTCTCGTTTATTAAAAAATGCGGGGTTTCATACCAGATGGATGCCATGTGGAATGCAGTGCTCTCTTCTGATGTCTGTGCACTTGCAGTGTGTGCAGATATCTTCCATTTTTGCCTGTGGAAAGCAATTTTCTTCCATCCAGAGCCTTCGGCTTCTTTGAGCCATTGTGGCTGAGAACTGGCAGTTAGGAACGAGACTGTGTCTAAGCTGGAGATGTTCTATGCTGTGGCCTTGGGCAGGAGTTAAAGGCAAGAGATGTTGAATATGGAGCAAAAAACTCATGAACAGCATGGCGATAACATTCCTTATTTACTGTTATTTGGGAAGATAGTTGCTACTGATTGAAATTACCAGCCAGGCATGGTGGCTTACGCCTGTAATCCCAGCACTTTGGGAGGCTGAGGCAGGCAGGTTGCTTGAGCCCAGGAATTCAAGACCAGCCTGGACAACATGGTAAAACCCCATCTCCACTAAAAATACAAAAATGAGCTGGGCATGGTGGCGCATACCTGTAGTCCCTGCTATTCAGGAGGCTGAAGTAGGAGGATCACATGAGTCTGGGAGGCAGAAGCTGCAGTGAGCCAACATCTCACCACTGCACTGCAGCCTGGGCAACAGCGAGACCCTGTCTCAACAAAAATAAAATTTTGTTAAGCTATTGTAAAAACAACACTACAAAATTAATAGACGTAAAACTTAAAAATTACCCTATACTTTCAGCACCCTAACAAATTGAACAACTGTGTTAAAGAATACAAAGTAAAAACCGGACGGGTTTTTTTTGTTGTTGTTGTTGTTGTTTTGGAGACAGGGTCTTTCCCTGTCACCCAGGCTGGAGTACAGTGGCACAACCTTAGCTCACTACATCTTTTTTTTCTTGAAACGGAGTCTCGCTCTGTTGCCCAGGCTGGAGTGCTGTGGCGCGATCTCGGCTCACTGCAAGCTCCGCCTCCCGGGTTCACGCCATTCTCCTGCCTCAGCCTCCCAATAGCTGGGACTACAGGTGCCTGCCACCATGCCCAGCTAATTTTTTTGTATTTTTAGTAGAGATGGGGTTTCACCGTGTTAGCCAGATGGTCTCGATCTCCTGACCTCATGATCCACCTGCTTTGGCCTCCCAAAGTGCTTGGATTACAGGCGTGAGCCACCGTGCCCAGCCCATCTTTATTTTTAGACAGAGTCTTGCTCTGTCGCCAGGCTGGAGTGCAGTGGCGCAATAGGCTGGAGTACAGTGGAGCGATCTCAGTTCACTGCAACCTCCGCCTCCCGGATTCAAGTGATTCTCCTGCCTCAGCCTCCCGAGTAGCTAAGACTACAGGAGCACACCACCACACCCAGTTAATTTTTGTATTTTTAGTAGAGACGGGGTTTCACCATGTTGGCCAGGATGGTCTCGATCTCTTGACCTCATGATCCACCCGCTTTGGCCTCCCAAAGTGCTTGGATTACAGGCGTGAGCCACCGTGCCCAGCCCATCTTTATTTTTAGAGAGAGTCTTGCTCTGTCGCCAGGCTGGAGTGCAGTGGCGCAATAGGCTGGAGTACAGTGGAGCGATCTCAGTTCACTGCAACCTCCGCCTCCCGGATTCAAGTGATTCTCCTGCCTCAGCCTCCCGAGTAGCTAGGACTACAGGAGCACACCACCACACCCAGCTAATTTTTGGATTTTTAGTAGAGACGGGGTTTCACCATGTTGGCCAGGATGGTCTCGATCTCTTGACCTCATGATCCGCCCTCCTCAGCCTCCCAAAGTGCTGGGATTACAGCCTTGAGCCACTGTGTTCGGCCAGCTCACTACATCTTCCACCTCCCTAGGCTCAGGTGATCCTCCCACCTCAGCCTCCCAAGTAACTGGACTACAGCTGTGCACCACCACCCCTGGCTAATTTTTTTTTCTTTTTTTCTTTTTTTTTTTGAGACGGAGTTTCGCTCTTGTTGCCCAGGCTGCAATGGTGTGATCTCGGCTCACTGCAACATCTGCCTCCGGGGTTCAAGCAATTCTCCTGCCTCAGCCTCCCAAGTAGCTGGAATTACAGGCATGCACCACCATGCGTGGCTAATTTTGTATTTTTAGTAGAAACAGGGTTTCTCCATGTTGGTCAGTCTGGTCTCAAACTCCCGACCTCAGGTGATCCGCCTGCTAAAGTGCTGGTTTTACAGGCGTGAGCCACCGTGCTTGGCCTCTGGCTAATTTTTTGCAGAGACTGTTTTACCATTACAGGCATGGGCCACCACACCCTGCAAAAACTGGAAGTTCTTTTTCACCCTCTAGATCCTGCTATCTAGTGTTAACCATTATTAACCAGTACCAGTGAATATTTCTTCTTCTAGATGTTTAGCTCTGCCCACATAAATATCTCACATGCATAATCTTTTCTCTGCAAAAATAGAATCTAGGTATTCTTTTTGATAAAATATGTTTTTGGATTTTTTTTCATACTAGCACATCTAAATCTATCCTGATCTTTGTAACATCTGCATGCTGTTTAATTGTATGGATGTACTATAATGATTTCTGTTGTGGTGGTTGTTGTTGAAATAAGGTCTTGCTGTGTTGCCTAGGCCAGAGTACAGTGGCGTAATCATAGTTCACTGCAACCTCCAGCTACTGGGCTCAAGTGGTCCTCCTAGTCTGAGCTTCCTGAGTAGCTAGGACTACAGGTGTGTGCTACCATGTCTGCCCAATTGAAAATTTTTTTGTAGAGACGGGGTCTTGCCATATTGCCCAGGCTGGTTTTGAACTCTTAGCCTCAAGTGATCCTCCTCCTTGATCCTGTCTTGGCCTCCAAAAATGCTAGGATTATAGGCATGAGCCCTGCACCTGGCCTGCATAATGATTTTGACCAGGTTCCTATTGATTGTGTCAAGTTGTGTCAAATCTCACACTACTATAAGCAATACTGTAATGAGCATCTTCCTCCATGTCTCTTTTTACCTAATCCTGAGTATATCTATTCTATGGTATAAATTCCTAGAAGTAAAATAGCTGTGTCAAAGGGCATGCAAATTTTTTGTTTTTATTTATTTATTTTTGAGACGGAATCTTGCTCTGTCACACAGGCTGGAGTGCAGTGGCACGATCTCGACTCACTGCAGCCTCCGCCTCTAGGGTTCAAGCAGTTCTCCTGCCTCACCCTCCCGAGTAGCTGGGATTACAGGCACACGCTACCACACCCGGCTAATTTTTGTATTTTTAGTAGAAACGGAGCTTCACCATGTTGGCCAGGCTGATGTTGAACTCCTGATCTCGTGATCCACCCTCCTCGGCCTCCCAAAGTGCTGGGATAACAGGCGTGAGCCACCGTGCCTGGCCCAAATTTTTTGTTTTTATAGATATTGCCAAGTTGTCTTCGAAAGAGTTTATACCAGTTCATGCTCCAGTGCTAGTGTGTAAGTGCCTCTTTTCTCATGTCTCAGCTCTTGGGTGTTCTGATGCATAAAAATAGTATCTCAAATAGTGGGGTTTTTTTGTTCGTGGTTTTTGTGTGTGAGTGTTTTTGGTTTTTGTTGTTGTTTTTTTGAGACAGGGTCTTACTCTGTCAGACAGGCTGGAGTGCAGTGATGCAATCACAGCCCACTGCAGGCTCAAATTCCTGGGCTCAAGCAGTCCTCTGCCTCAGCCTCCCAAGTAGCTGGGTCTACAAGTGCACATCACCACACCCAGCTAGTTTTTTAATTTTTCTTTTGTATAGACGGTGTCTCGCTATGTTGACCGGGCTGATTTCAAAGTGACCCTCTCACTTTTGCCTCCCATAGTGCTGGGATTACAGACATGAGCCACTCTGCTGGGTCTCAGATGGTATGGGTTGTTTGTTTGAGACAAGATCTCGTTCTGTCACTCAGGCTGGAGTGCAGTAGCATGAACACAGCTCACTGCAGCCTTGACCTGCTGGGATCAAGCAATCCTCCAGCTTCAGCCTCCTGTAAATCTGGGACCACAGGTGCACGCCACTGCACCTGGCTAAGTTTTTTGATTTTGTGTAGAGACAGGGTCTTACTTTGTTGCCCAGGCTGGTCTCGAACTCATTTCCTGTTTCATTTACTGAAGCGATCCTCTCGCCTCAGCCTCCCAGAGTGCTGGGATTCCAAGCATGAGCCAATGCACCTGGCCTCAAATGGTGGTTTCATTTGCAATTCTTTACTTATGAGTAAGACTGGACATCAAGAATAGGGCACTCCCAAGTCTAAAGCCCTTTGGTTAGAATAAGTGCCCTTTTTTTCCCCTTCAGCAAATGCAATGAAGTCAGAGTACTTGACTCTCCAAGAATGCCACTTTTCCTCATAACTTCCTTATCACAGCTATCATCTCGAAGGCACCTATTTAACCACTGACTGCAAAACAAAGAAGCAGTAGAATTTTTACCGTCAGTCACAGAATAGTTTCTGCTACTGAAAACTTTCTGATGCTTAAAAAAAAGTGTCTTAAAAGTACATTTGTGGGCTGGACGCGGTGGCTCACACCTGTAATCCCAGCACTTTGGGAGGCCAAGGTGGGTGGATCACAAGGTCAGGAGTTCCAGACCAGCCTGGCCAAGATGGTGAAACCCCGTCGCTACTAAAAATGCAAAAATTAGCTGGGCACAGTGGCAGGCACCTGTAATCCCAGCTACTTAGGAGGCTGAGGCAGGAGAATCGCTTGAACCCAAGCGGCAGAGGTTGCAGTGAGCCAAGATCACGCCACTGCATTCCAGCCTGGGCAACAGAGTGAGACTCCATCTCAAAAAATAAATAAATAAATAATACACTTGTGGACTGGCGCAGTGCCTCATGCCTGTAATCCCAGTACTTTGGAAGGCCGAGACAGGTGGATCACCTGAGGTTGGGAGTTCAAGACCAGCCTGGCCAACATGCCGAACCCCAATATCTACTCAAAATACAAAAATTAGCCAGGCATAGTGGCAGGTGCCTGTAATCCCAGCTACTTGGGAGGCTGAGGCAGGAGAATCGCTTGAACCCAGGAGGTGGAGGTTGCAGTGAGCTGAGATCGTGCCATTGCATTCCAGCCTGGGCAACAAGAGCGAAACTCCGTCTCAAAAAAAAATACACTTGTGTTAAGTAGAGCAAAATTCTTGCTTTGCATAGCTGATTGCGATGGCAGAAAACCATTCTCCCTCACGATGGGAGAAAGGGGTCTGTCCTAAAGGGATTCTGAGGTCATGGTTTCTCTGTTCAATCCCAGAGCAGAAAGGGGACTGTGTCAGCAAATGAAAAATGTGCTTTTGTCTTCCTTTGTTTTTCAAAAGGTGCACTCAGCTAAACACAAAAGTGGCCAAACTCACCAACGAGCTCAAAGAGGAGCAGGAAATGAACAAGTGTTTGCGAGCCAACCAAGTCCTCCTGCAGAACAAGCTAAAAGAGGAGGAGAGGGTGCTGAAGGAGACCTGTGACCAAAAAGATCTGCAGATCACCGAGATCCAGGAGCAGCTGCGTGACGTCATGTTCTACCTGGAGACACAGCAGAAGATCAACCATCTGCCTGCCGAGACCCGGCAGGAAATCCAGGAGGGACAGATCAACATCGCCATGGCCTCGGCCTCGAGCCCTGCCTCTTCGGGGGGCAGTGGGAAGTTGCCCTCCAGGAAGGGCCGCAGCAAGAGGGGCAAGTGACCTTCAGAGCAACAGACATCCCTGAGACTGTTCTCCCTGACACTGTGAGAGTGTGCTGGGACCTTCAGCTAAATGTGAGGGTGGGCCCTAATAAGTACAAGTGAGGATCAAGCCACAGTTGTTTGGCTCTTTCATTTGCTAGTGTGTGATGTAGTGAATGTAAAGGGTGCTGACTGGAGAGCTGATAGAAAGGCGCTGCGTTCGAAAAGGTCTTAAGAGTTCACTAACCTCACATTCTAATGACCATTTTGCCTTCCTGCTTGGTAGAAGCCCCAACTCTGCTGTGCATTTTTCCATTGTATTTATGGAGTTGGCGTATTTGACATTCAGTTCTGGGGTAGGTTTAAGATGTTAAGTTATTTCTTGTAACCTCAAAGGTAAGGTTATCTAGCACTAAAGCACCAAACCTCTCTGAGGGCATAACAGCTGCTTTAAAGAGAGGTTTCCATTGGCTATTAAGGAGTTATGAAAACTCCCTAGCAATAGTGTCATATCATTATCATCTCCCCCTTCCTCTGGGGAGTGGAAGAATTGCTTGAATGTTATCTGAAAAGAGGCCTGGTAGTAAACCAGGCCCTGGCTCTTTACCAGCAGTCATCTCTTCTTGCTCTGGGGCCAGCCAGGAAAAACAAACAACCCGGGGCACATTGGGTAGACTCAGTGTAGGAAAAATGGTGGCAGCTCCACTGTTTATTTTTGGTGACTTCGTACATCATTATGAACCGCAATTAAGGAGGAGGCTTAATGGCTGTTCCCAAACTCAAATCTCAGAGTGGGTATCCTAGCATCTAGCAAGACTGAGTGGGGAGATTTCTCATCCGTGTGAAAATGTAGAGTGAGGCCTCTGACTAGCTAATTGTGTATTTTGTTGGGTTTAGTATTTTCTAAATGTTTACAAAATATTGGGCTGCATGTTCAGGTTGCAGCTAGAGGGAGCTTGGGCAGATTTTCAATTACGCTTTCAAGATATAACCAAAAGCTGTTTCTAAATCCTAAAATTAGAATTTCAACAGAGCCCCCTTTAGAACAGTCATATAACGCTTGTGTGGGCCAACAGAGGGGCTGTGTACTCTCTCTGGAACCATAAATGTCAAATAATTTATAACCTGCAGTAATTGAGCAAACTTAAAATAAGACCTGTGTTGGAATTTAGTTTCTTGAAGAGGTAGAGGGATAGGTTAGTAAGATGTATTGTTAAACAACAGGTTTTAGTTTTTGCTTTATAATTAGCCACAGGTTTTCAAATGATCACATTTCAGAATAGGTTTTTAGCCTGTAATTAGGCCTCATCCCCTTTGACCTAAATGTCTTACATGTTACTTGTTAGCACATCAACTGTATCACTAATCACCATCTGTTTTTGTGGGATGTGCTGCAGCATTTCCCAAAAAACTTTACGTGTAATGTTGCAAAATGAATGTACTCAGACATTCTTAATTTTTACTTAGGGCAGACCAACTCTTTGAGTCTCTCTTGGACTTATATATACAGATATCTTAAGAGTGGGAATGTAAAGCATAACCTAATTCTCTTTCCTATAGAGATTCTATTTTATTTAAAATCTATTTTTACACTAGTTAGAATCCTGCTGTTTTGGCCAAGTACTTGTCTTGCATGTCTGACCTTGCAGAAGCTGGGGTGGATCATAGCATACTAATGAAGAGAATTAGAAGTAGTTTACAAAGCTCGCTCACTCCTCATTTCTCTGTGATCCCTTCTATCCAGTGGCCCCACCACCACCTGGGAAAACAGATTTTTCAGTACAGGTGGGATAAATGCTCTGAAAGGCTGTGCCCAGAGGAATGAGCAAATAGGCAAGTGTTTCCAAACTACTTGGAGGTTTACAAAAAATATGTCCCAGAAAAAAAAAAAATCTTACCAAGATACGTAAAGAAAAAAAAATTTTTTTTTAAACAGTCAAAGAGTCATGTTTGAATTTCACAAAATCACATCAGACAGAAGTTGTTTTCTTCAGGAGGGAAATGAACCACTTAATATACCCATACTACCTTGAACAATGAAATTGAATTAAAATAGCCAAACTTTGAAATTATTCTGCCCCGTGTGAAATGTGTGTCTCTGACTGACATTTGCTTGGGAGCATGTCTCTAATAATCTAAGAAAGTGTCGGCTGGGCACAGTGGCTCAGCGCCTGTAATCCCAGCACTTTGGGAGGCTGAGACGGGCGGATCATGAGGTCAGGAGATCGAGACCATCCTGGCTAACATGGTGAAACTCCGTCCCCACTAAAAATACAAAAAAAAAAATTAGCTGGGCATGGTGGCAGGCACCTGTAGTTCCAGCTACTTGGGAGGCTGAGGCAGGAGAATGGCATGAACCCGGGAGGCAGAGCTTGCAGTGAGCCGAGATTGCACCACTGCACTTCAGCCTGGGTGACAGAGCGAGACTCCATCTCAAAAAAAAAAAAAAAAAAAAAAAGTGGCCTTGATTTAAAAAGCAACGTAAAAATCAGCCCCTTGGTTGGGTGCGGTGGCTCACATCTGTAATCCCACCACTTTGGGAGGCTGAGGTGGGAGGAATGCTTGAGGTCAGGAGTTCAAGACCAGCCTGGGCAACATGGCCAGACCCAATCTCTACCAAAAAAAATAATAATAATAAAAGTTTTTGATTAGCCGGGCATGGTCTTGCACACCTGTAGTCCCAGCTATTTGGGAGGCTGAGGTGGGAGGATCGCTTGAACCCAGGAGTTCGAGACTGCAGTGAGCTGTGATTATACCACTGTACTCCAGCCTGGGCAACAGACCTTGTCTCAAAAAAAAAAAAAAAAAAAAACCCTCAACAATATAGTGAGCATCTAGATTATTCATCTTTCCACTCCCTTCTTCCAGGTTCCCAAACTAGTGAAAAGTAGCTGAACTGGGCAAGGGAAGTCCTAGGCACACAACTCTTGCAAACTAAAAGCACATTTTTTTATTTTTTATTTTTTTTGAGACAGTCTTGTTCTGTCTCCCAGGCTGGAGTGCAGTGGCTCCACCTTGGCTCACTGCAACCTCCACCCGCTGGGTTCAAGCGATTCTCCTGCCTCAGCCTCCCGAGTAGCTGCGCTTATAGCATGTGCCACCATGCCCAGCTAATTTTTTGTATTTTTAGTAGAGATGGGGTTTTGTCATGTTGGCGAGGCTGGTCTCGAACTCTTGACCTCAAGTGATCCACCCGCCTCAGCCTCCCAAAGTGCTGGGATTACAGTTGTGAGTCACCGCACCCAGCCACTAAAAGCAATTTTTACACCTGAGACTATTTCCCACTAAGCTGAGATTGTTTTGGTGGGGGGGTTTGTTCTTGGTGGGAAACCGTCATAAATGTGACTTGCTAGAATATATTGATCAATATATAAACACTGAAGCAACTACCCACTCTCTGCTTGCATGGCAAAGTTGTCCTCCTCAAAAGGGCTGAGAAACTGATTTCCACAGCCAGCTAGTAGAGTGTGGAGAACTTGGCAAATCACGAATGAACAACCTTCTGTCATCGTTTAGAAACCCCTCTCCTAGTACAGTCAGGCTCCACAAGCTACAAATACCATCCATGAGATTTGGCTGCCATGCATGATGCCACGTTGCTTGGGCTGGTGGCATATTTTGGCTTGTGCGATGCCATGGGCTTATCTAAAAAAGGAAAAAGTCACTCTTATTTTCTCCAGGATAAAGCTGAATTAACTGCTGCATAGTGACTCTGCTGCATCACTTCTCTTGGCAGCAGAAGGGAAATTAAAAGTCTCTTAAGAATCAGCTGCACCTTAACAGTGCTGGGGGTCCTTTAAACTACCCAGAGACCAGGCTGTCACCTTAATCGAGTTTAGGAAGCCACCGAGTATTCTGTGGCAGACCTTTTCTGTTGGCCAGTCCTTTTCATGCTTCCCTGTGAAAATTCTTGAAATAGAGACCCAGAATACCTATAAAATGGTTGCACCAACAGATGCAGCTTTTTTTTTTTTTTTTGAGACAGAGCCTCACTCTGTTGCCCAGGCTGGAGTGCAGTGGCGCGATCTCAGCTCACTGCAACCTCCGCCTCCTGGGTTCAAGCAATCCTCATGCCTCAGCATCCCAAGTAGCTGGGATTACAGGCACACACCACCATGCCTGGCTAATTTTTGTATTTTTTGTAGAGATGGGGTTTTGCCGTGTTGGCCAGGTTGGTCTCGAACTCCTGACCTCAAGTGATCCACCTACTCGGCCTCCCAAAGTACTGGGATTATAGGCATGAGCCACTGTGCTCAGCCATTTTTTGTATTTTTTGTATTTTGTATTTTGGTAGAGATGGGCTTTTGCCATGTTGGCCGGGCTGGTCTCAAACTCTTGGCCTCTAGTGATCTGCCTGCCTCGGCCTCCCAAAGTGCTGGGATTACAGGTGTGAGCCACTGCGCCTGGCCCAGATATAGCTTTGACAGTAAAGAGTGAAGCAGTAAGAGGGAGAAAAGCCTGTCCTTTAGGAACCCCAAGTTTTATCCTAGAGCCAAGGCCAAGTGTCTGCTTCTCCTCTGCAAGGTGAAGTTGATTTTGCACCTCCCACCCTCACCCACTGGCCTCCCCCAAACCCTGTTCTGTAGTCTCCCTGGAGCAAGTGAAAAGCATTATTTGCATTTGGGTATTAGTGAACTTCAGGGAAGTTACATAAGGCTTTTAATTTTTACTGGAGTGGGGGCTGGCCTCTTTATCCTGATTAATTGCCATAATCAACAACTTCTTTCTTTCTTTCTTTCTTTTTTTGAGATGGAGTCTCGCTCTGTCCCCCAGGCTGGAGTGCAGTGGCACCATCTCAGCTCACTGCAACCTCTGCCTCCTGGGTTCAAGTGATTCTCGTGTCTCAGCCTCCTGAGTAGCTGAGATTATAGGTGCATACTACATGCCCGGCTAATTTTTGTATTTTTAGTAGAGATGGGGTTTTGCCCTGTTGGCCAGGCTGGTCTCAAACTCTTGACCTCAAGTGATCTGCCTGCTTCGGCCTCCCAAAGTGCTAGGATTACAGGCGTGAGCCACCACGCCTGGCCATCTTTTCATGTTTTAGTGATAACCTTTCTTTACCTTGTATTCCTGAAACTCACATGTTCACAGACATTTACGACCATAGGGTCTATCAGACATTAATTTGGAAA
Organism: Homo sapiens; assembly: GCF_000001405.40. Classification (NCBI taxonomy): domain Eukaryota; kingdom Metazoa; phylum Chordata; class Mammalia; order Primates; family Hominidae; genus Homo; species Homo sapiens. Next base: position 111,639,085 of record NC_000012.12, on the reverse strand, counting down.
CTTGTACTTCCAGAAGCCAAAACAATTTCAGAATTATTGTAGCTAGTATGCTTTTCATGAACATTGAGTAGTCTCTCCCTATAATTCTGGAAGCTTAGGAGGACATGAAAGAAAGGGGTTCTGCAGTTGGTTCTTAATCTGGATTTTGCATTCTTGCTGCATGAAAGGAAGAAATGAACAATCTTGTTTTGTACAAGATGATTGCCGTCTTTAGGGCCTAATGTTGAATTGCTTCGAGTGAAAAACTCACTGGAATCATCTGGAAAATGTGGTTTTGGTACTTGGCACGGAGCTGCACTGGTGCAGATAACATTTGTTACTCTAAGGCTAATTACCACACTTACTAAGTGAACTGAAGCAGCTTTGTTTCTTTTCAGACCTTTTTCTAAATCCCCTGACCCAAGACTCCTTTCCGATCCAGCTCAAGATGGCCTTGAAACAAATGCAGGGAGGTTTGTCCAGGAGGGGAAGTCCAAGAGTGAAATTACATGCAAGATCCCAGAACGTGAACGTGTACAGCACTCAGGATAAATCTGGGTGTTTTGTTTGTTTGTTTGTTTTGGTTTTTTTTTGAGACCAAGTCTTGCCCTGTCACCCAGGCTGGAGTGCAGTGCAGTGGCTGGATCTCGGCTCATTGCAACCTCCGCCTCCTGGGTTCAAGCGATTCTCCTGCCTCAGCCTCCCAAGTAGCTGGGATTACAGGTCCCCACCATCACACCTAGCTAATTTTTGTGTTTTCAGTAGAGACGGGGTTTCATTATGTTGGCCAGGCTGGTCTCGAACTCCTGACCTCAAGTGATCCACCCACCTTGGCCTCCCAAAGTGCTGGGATTACAAGCATGAGCCACCACGCCCAGCCTGGGTGTTGTATTTTCAAAAGATAAAAGCAGGCCAGGCATGGTGTCTCACGACTGTAATCCCAGCATTTTGGGAGACCGAGGCAGGAGGATCACCTGAGGTTGGGAGTTTGAGACCACCCTGACCAACATGGAGAAACCCCATCTCTACTAAAAATACAAAATTAGCTGGGCATGGTGGCACATGCCTGTAATCCCAGCTACTCGTGAGGCTGAGGCAGGAGAACCGCTTGAACCCAGGAGGCAGATGTTGTGGTGAGCCAGAGATCGCGCCATTGCACTCCAGCCTGGGCAACAAGAGTGAAACTCCATCTCAAAAAAAAAAAAAAAAAAAAAAAGTAAAAGTAAATCTACAGCACTAAGCATAAATGCCAAATAGGAAAAACAGTTCCAACTTGGCCTCTGTGAGGATGTCTTCTGCCATTTTTTTTGCCCAGAAGAAGCAGCAGGTTCCAGACCAGATTTCCTGGTACATGTGTTTCCTAATTTAAAAAGGAAGAGCCCAGGCTAGGTGCTGTGGCTCACACCTGTCATCCCAACACTCTGGGAGGCCGAGATAAGAGGATCGCTTGAGGCTGGGAGTTCAAGACCAGCCTGGGCAACATAGACCTTGTCTCTACTAAAAATTAAAAACAATTAGCCAGGGGTGGCGCATGCCTGTAGTCCCAGCTACTCAGGAGGCTAAGGCAGGAGGATCTCTGGAGCCCAGGAGTTCGAGCTTGCAGTGAGCTATGATCGCACCACTGCTCTCCCAGCTATATCAACTCCTGGTTCTAATTCTCAATCCCTTGATTATGGCCCAATAGGCAAAAGTTCAGGTTTTCCCTAGAGAACTGGGAGAACTCAAGTCCCCTGTAAAAGAATGAGATGTTTCCGGCCGGGTGCGGTGGCTCATGCCTGTAATCCCAGCACTTTGTGAGGCTGAGGCGGGCGGATCACCTGAGGTCAGGAGTTTGAGACCAGCCTGGCCAACATGGCAAAACCCTGTCTCTACTAAAATACAAAAAATTAGCCGGGCATGATGTCAGGTGCCTGTAATCCCAGCTACTCAGGAGGCTGAGACGGGAAAATCACTTGAACCAGAGAGACGGTGGTTGCAGTGAGCCGAGATCACGCCACTGCACTCCAGCCTGGGCGGCTGAGCGAGACTCTGTCTAAAAAAAATAAATAAATAAAGATGTTTCCACAACTTAAGAAACTCGCCTGTATCAGTTTACATCATTAGCATAATGCTTAGCACTAAAAGGCTTCAGTGCTAACTAAAAAGAAGGGACAGGAATTAATTTTACAGGCACAACAGATTACAGAGAAAGACCTAGAAGTTAAGACATGTAAGCAGAAAATTTTAGGAGGAAAAAGGAGAGTTGCTATCTTGGAAACACTCCAACAGAGAGCAACCAAATTGTGACTTATCACACGCAGCCAGAGGGTCTTCCGGCAGCATTTTTTAGGAATTATCTTTTGTGATAGAAGCAACCTTAGCTGTAGCTGTATTCACTCATATTCTAACTGATCAGTTTCTGCTCATGCAGACACTATGAGCCCAACTGTTTGCAAAAGGGACAGCAAGAGAGGAGCCACGTGGCACTCCCCCACCTCCCCACCCCACCTGTCCTTGGGGAAAAAAATTAAGATCCTCTTTTCAAAATGCCTGCCTCAGGAAAACAGCTTCGTCGCATTTGTTTCCATGCTGCGGAAAATCAACACGAACTGGCTTTGATCCCAAACAGGGCCAACTGCAGGGCACTGAGGATTCCACAGCCAGGAGGAATGCGGAGGCCTCTCCCCCAGCACATTCGACTTCAATTATGTGGGAACACGCCTGGGCCGGGGGCTGATGCCAGAATTATCCTGGCTGAGACGGAGGAGGCCCCGTGCTGTGGCCTAGAATCTTTCCTAAAAGTCCATGCGGGATCTCTCGGTTGCTGCCAATCCTGCACTTTCTCGTTGGCGAGATTCCTGGCTCTGTTTGGCTAGAGTAATGCTACGGCTCACTCCTGTCCTTTTCTTCTCACTGCGGCCCCTCTGCCCCTCACCATTGTCAATCAGAATGCTCCACCGCTTTCAAAAACAGAACAGTCCCCCCAAGAAATCATCCACACCATCCCTTCCTCCTTCTCGGTTAGCTCCGTTATGGCCCACAGGAGAGGGCTGCCTTTTTGGTTAACTCTTTAAAAAGTTTCCTTTTCACCTTCTGACATAACATTCTCGTGGGAAGGGAGGTAAGGGATGCTAATGAGCCTCACTGGATTACCGTTAGCGTGTGTGAACCCAAGTGGACTAGGAAAATCCCAGCAGGACATCCCTATGAGGGGCCTCTTTTCCAGCACTGGTTGTCCTAATCAGGCAAGCCAGAGCGGTAATCTAGAGACCCCAAACCTGTGTTGGATTTTAGTAGGACGTAGAGCCGAGATAGCCCCTTTGCACTTGCTGAGAATGAAAAATGGAAGTAAGCCCTGTCCTGCGGTTTTGATGTGTTTGATTACACTGCTAGCTCACACAACCTACCGCCCAGTCATTGTGCTGAGCACTTGCCTTGTATGTTTCATCCAGTCCTCACAACAATCCTGTCAGGTCCTACGGTGAACCCATTTTACACAGCAAGAAACTAGGGCGCAGTGGAAACAGGATGGGACTCGACCAGCACTGACTGAGGTCACATAGCTGGTAAGTGATAAAGGCCATTCTCTCTCTCTTTTTCTTTTTTTGCAACAGAGTTTTGCTCTTGTCACTCAGGCTGGAGTGCTATGGCGGGATCTCAGCTCACTGCAACCTCTGCCTCCTGGGTTCACGCAGTTCTCCTGCCTCAGCCTCCTGAGTAGCTGGAATTACAGGCACCTGCCACCAGGCCCAGCTAATTATTTTATTTTATTTTTCATAGAGGCAGGGTTTCTCCATCCATGTTGGTCAGGCTGGTCTCAAACTCCTGACCTCAGGTGATCCACCTGTCTTTGCCTCCCAAAGTGCTGGGATTACAGGCGTGAGCCACTGTGCCCAGCCCTCTCACTCTCTTCTTTTTTTTTTTTTTTTTAGAGACAGGGTCTCACTCTTGCCCAGGCTAGAGTGCAGTGGTGTGATCATGGCTCATGGCAGCCTCAACCTCCCTGGACTTAAACGATCCTCCCACCTCAGCCTCCTGAGTAGCTGGGACCACAGGAGCGTGCCACTATGCCCAGCTAACTTTTTCTTATTTTGGGGGTCTCCTATGTTGCCCAGGCTGATCTGGAACTCCTGGGCTCAAGTGGTCCTCCCACCTCAGCCTCCCAAAATGCTGAGATTATACACATAAGCCACTGTGCCCGGCCCTTTTTCTTTTCTTTTCTTTTTTTTTTTTTTAATAAACAAGGTCTCTGTCGCCCAGGCTGGAGTGCAGTGACGCGATCATAGCTCACTGCAGTCTCAAACTCCTGGGCTCAAGTGATCCTCCTGCCTCAGCCTCCTGAGTAGCTGGGACTACAGGTACACCACCATGCCCAGCTAATTTGTTTGTTCTTGTAGACATGGGATCTTGCTATGTTGCCCAGGCTGACCTTGAATTCCAAGTGATCCTCCCACCTCCGCCTCCCAAAGCACTGGGATGACAGTTGCAGTCCACCACACTCAGTCAATTCTCAATCTTGACATCATCTAACCCCAAAACCTGGGCTTATCACCACTCTGCTCTACTATCTCCCCTAACTTTGGGACTTGGGAATGTAAAAGACACAGCTCCTAGTTCGATTTTGTTGTTTTGGGAAAGGAGAGTACTGAGTTGAGGCCACTTTTGTGTGAGTCCAGGGTCCTGAACATCCACCCTCTGCCAGCCTTCCCTTTTTTTTTTTTTTTTTTTTGAGAAGGGGTCTCTAGCTCTATTGTCCAGACTGGAGCACAGTGGCACGATCTTGGCTAACTGCAACCTCCACCTCCAGGGTTCAAGCAATTCTCATGCCTCAGTCTCCTGAGAAGCTGGGATTAACAGGCACCCGCCACCACGCCCAGCTAGTTTTTGTATTTTTAGTAGAGATGGGGTTTCACTATCTTGGCCAGGCTGGTCTGGACCTCCTGACCTCAGGTGATCTGCCCACCTCGGCCTCCCAAAGTGCTGGGATTACAGGCGTGAGCCACCAACCCTAGCCTCTTCTCATGGAGTTTTCTAACTTCTCCCTCTCTCCTTTCCCACTTCAATGGGGCGCCTGAGCTGATAAAGAGAAAGGAAGAGGAAAGCCACAGGGTTTCCCCCCACTATACCCAAGGGCTGGCCTTGGGAATTCATTTCAATGGACTGTGCTGGCCCCTTCACCCTGGGGAGCTTGGGGCCCAGCCCACAGCAGCCATTTACACTGACATCTCAGTTCCTTTATCCAGAGCCTCATGGACATTTGCTCCATTGGAAAAGTCGCTTCTGGAACAAGGCTATCCAGGCTCTAAGGTGTTCTCTCTGTAAGAGTGCAGACTCTGCTAGTGCCCCCAGAGGCACAGTCAAAAGGGCATAAACAGGCTAACTGGAAACTGGATATTCTGGAGGGATCGGCTTAATTTGCAGCTTCAATTTATTATAGAACACATGGGGAGAGAGAAAGCCTAGAACAAAAATCTTACAAACTACTAGAGGATATTATAAAGCAGTATTAATTTGGCAGATGTAAATTGGTGCTGTGTGTATGTCTATGTGCAAATGTGTCCAAGAGCTTTTTCTTTGTTTTTTTTTTGAGACGGAGTCTCCTAGGCTAGAGTGCAGTGGTGCAATCTTGGCTCACTGCACGTCTGCCTCCCAGGTTCAAGCAATTCTCCTGCCTCAGCCTCCCAAGTAGCTGCGATTACAGGCTTGCGGCACCACACCGGCTAATTTTTTGTATTTTTAGTAGAGACGGAGTTTCACCATGTTGGCCAGGCTGGTCTCAAACTCTTGGCCTCAAGTGATCTGCCTGCCTCGGCCTCCCAAAGTGCTGCAATTACAGGCATGAGCCACTGTACCCGGCCTTTTAAAAAAATATTATGTAATAACAAGTTTAAGCCAGGCACAGTGGCTCACACCTGTAATTCCAGCACTTTGGGAGGCCAAGGCGGGCAGATCACAAGGTCAGGAGATTGAGACCATCCTGGCCAACATGGTGAAAACCCATCTCTACTAAAAATACAAAAATTATCTGGGCGTGGTGGCGTGCACAAGTAATCCCAGCTACTTGGGAGGCTGAGGCAGGAGAATCACTTGAACCCGGGAGTCGGAGCTTGCGCCACTGCACTCCAGCCTGGCGACAGAGCGAGACTCCGTCTAAAAAAAAGCAAAAAAATTATAAGTTCAATTTATGATCTGATGTTTTGTTTTTTCCTTTTTTGAGACAGTCTTGCTCTGTTGTCCAGGCTGGAGTGCAGTGGCGTGATCTTGGCTCACTGCAACCTCCACCTCCTGGGTTTAAGCGATTCTCCTGTCTCAGCCTCCCAAGTAGCTGGGACTACAGGTGCCTGCCACCACGCCTGGATAATTTTTTTTTTTTTTTTTAGATGGAATCTCGCTCTGTTGCCAGGCTAGAGTGCAGTAGCGCAATCTCAGCTCACTGCAACCTCTGCCTCCCGGGTTCAAGTGATTCTCCTGCCTCAGCCTCCCAAGTAGCTGGGATTACAGGCATGCGCCACCATGCCCAGCTAATTTTTGCATTTTTAGTAGAGATGGGGCTTCACCATGTTGGCCAGGCTGGTCTTGATCTCCTGACCTGGTGATCCACCCACCTTGGCCTCCCAAAGTGCTGGGATTACAGGCATGAGCCACCGTGCCCGGCCTAATTTTTGTATTTTTAGCAGAGGTGGGTTTCATCATGTTGGCCAGGCTGGTCTCGAACTCCTGACCTCAAAGGATCCACCCACCTCATTCTCCCAAAAATCTGGGATTACAGGCGTGAGCCACCACACCCGGCCTATGATCTGATTTAATAGCTATATTTGTGCTACTGAGCTTAGATTTTCACCTACTTCCACTTATCCTACATATATATATATATACATTTTTTTTTTTTTTTTGAGATGGAGTCTCACTCTGTCACCCAGGCTGGAGTGCAGTGGTGTGATCTCGGCTAACTGCAAGCTCTGCCTCCCAGGTTCACACCATTCTCCTGCCTCAGCCTCCCAAGAGGCTGGGACTACAGGCGCCCGCCACCACACCCGGCTAATTTTTTGTATTTTTAGTAGACATGGGGTTTCACTGTGTTAGCCAGGATGGTCTCGATCTCCTGACCTCGTGATCCACCCACCTCGGCCTCCCAAAGTGCTGGGATTACAGGCACAAGCCACCGCACCCAGCCCCTACTTATATATTCTAAATGCTATTAGACAATAGGAAGTACAAAAGTATATTGCTTGTGTGTTTATTTTTTATTGAGATATAATTAACATACAATAGGCCCCACGCAGTGGCCCACACCTGTAATCCCAGCAGTTTGGGATGCCAAGGCAGGCGTATCACCTGAGGTCAACAGTTCAAGACCAGCCTGGCCAAAATGGCAAAATCCCATCTCTACTAAAAATACAAAAAAATTAGGCGTGGTGGTGTGCACCTGTAATCCCAGCTACTTGGGAGGCTGAGGCAGGAGAATTGCTTGAACCTGGGAGGTGGAGGTTGCAGTGAGCAGAGATGGTGCCATTTCACTCCAGCCTGGGCAACAAGAGCAAAACTCTGTCTCAAATAATAATAATAATAATAATAATAATAATAAAAAACATACAATAGAATGCAGATCTTAAGTGCTCAGTTCAAAGAGTTTTGAGAATTGTATATACCCATGTAATCACTACCCAAATCAAGATGTGTAGAATATTTCTATCTCCCCTGTTAAAAAATACAATGTTATATTTTTTAAACAGAAAAACATAAAGAAAATTAAATGGTTATCTCAACAGAGGAAGTTATTAACACTTTAGAGTATGTTTCTTCTGGTATTTTTGTTTGTTTGTTTTGAGACAGGGTCTTGCTCTGTCACTCAGGCTGGAGTGCAGTGGCATGATCACAGCTTACTGCAGCCTCAACCTTCCAAGATCAAGCAATTATTTCACCTTAGCCTCCCAAGTAGCTGGGACTACAGGCACACACCACCACACCCAGCTAATCATCTGGTATTTTCTATGCATATTCTTTTTTTTTTTTTTGAGATAGAGTCTCGCTCTGTCACCCAGGTTGGAGTGCAGTGGCACAATCTCAGCTCATTGCAACCTCTGTCTCCCAGGTTCAAGTGATTCTCCTGCCTCAGCCTCCTGAGTAGCTGGGATTACAGGCACATGCCACCACACACAGCTAACTTTTGTATTTTTAGTAGAGACCGGGTTTCACTATGTTGGGCATGTTGGTCTCCAACTCCTGACCTCAAATGATCTGCCCTCATTGGCCTCCCAAAGTGCTGGGATTACAGGTGTGAGCCACTGTGCCCAGCATGCATATTCTTTTTACATGATTTCTTTATTCTTTCAAAAATTCCTTCAGGGCCTAATAAGTGCTAGACACTGCCTAGGTTCTGGGGATATGGCAATGAAGGCCAAGAGTCCAGGCACTGCCATCCTGAAAAGAAACAAAATTATTAATATATAAAATTTCAGATAATGGTAAATGCCAGGAAAAAAGGTAAAACAGTGTAATTGGGATGGAGGGGAGGGCTGTGTTAGGTAGGATAGTCAGGGAAGGCCACGATGGTAGACTGTGTGCAAAAAATGGCTCACTATTCCCCCCACAATGTGACTCTGCAGCATCTCCACCCCACTGAATCTGGGCTAGTATTGTGACTTGCTTTAGACCACAACTTTTGCTTCAGCAAAAGTGACACTGTGACAGTTTTTTGTTTTCGGTTTTTTTTTGTTTTGTTTTTTTTTTTGAGATGGAGTCCTGCTCTGTCGCCCAGGCTGGAGTGCAGTGGCACAATCTCAGTTTACTGCAGCCTCTGCCTCCCAGGTTCAAACGATTCTCCTGCCTCAGCCTCATGGGAATACAGGCATGTGCTACCATACCCAGCTAATTTTTGTATTTTTAGTAGAGACAGGGTTTCACCATGTTGCCCAGGCTGGTCTCGAACCCCTGGCCTCAAGTGATCTGCCTGCCTCGGCCTCCCAATGTGCTGGGATTACAGGCGTGAGCCACTGCACCCGGCAATACTGTGATAGTTCTGAGCCTCAAGAGGCCTTTTAAAATTCTATTCTGTCTCAAAACCCTGCCCAACCTCTAGGAAAACAAGCCCAGGTTAGTCTGCTGGTGGATGAGAGACCACATGGATGCGAGCCAAGCAAGCCCAGTTATCCCAGCCAAATTCATGAAAAGTACCCAGCAAAGATCTCTGCCTTGATGTTCACATGGCGTTCCCCTGTGTGCATGTGTCTATTCCTTCTTTTAAGACACCAGTCATATTGGGTCAGGATACATCCTAATGACCTTATTTTAACTTGGTTACTTCTGTTAAAAACCCTATCTCCAGCCGGGCACAGTGGCTCACGCCTGTAATCCCAGCACTTTGGGAGGCCAAGGTGGGCATATCACCTGAGGTCGGGAGTTTGAGACCAGCCTGGCCAACATGGAGAAAACCCATCCCTACTAAAAATACAAAATTAGCTGGGGGTGGTGGTGGGCACCTGTAATCCCAGCTACTCAGAAGGCTGAGGCAGGAGAATCGCTTGAACCCAGGAGGTGGAGGTTGCGGTGAGCTGAGATCGGACCATTGCACTCCAGCCTGGGCAACAAGAGCGAAACTCAGTCTCCAAAAAAAAAAAAAAAAGAAAAACCCTATCTTCAAATAAGGTCACATTGTGAGGTACTGTGGGTTAGGACTGCAGCATATGAGTTTGGGGAAGATGCAATTCAACCCATTACACATGGCTTGGACTTTTTTTTTTTTTTTTTTTTTTGAAACCGAGTCTCGCTCTATCACCAGGCTGGAGTGCAGTGCCGCAATCTTGGCAACCTCCGCCTCCTGGGTACAAGAGATTCTTCTGTCTCAGCCTCCCGAGTAGCTGGGACTACAGGCATGCACCACCACACCAAGCTAGTTTTTGTATTTTTAGTAGAGATGGGGTTTTACCATGTTGGCCAGGATGGTCTCAATCTCTTGACCTCATGATCCACCCACCTTGGCCTCCCAAAGGGCTGGGATTACAGGCATGAGCCACCGCGCCCGGCTGGCTTTGACTTTTTAAGCTCTTTCCAACCTCAGGACCTTTGCATGTACTGTTCTTGCAGGAATGACCTCCTGAACCCTTTGAATGACTGAGGCCTTCTCTTACTTCAGGTCTCAACTTATATGTTTTCTCTTAAGAGAGGCTTTCCCCAAATCTCCCTTCTCGTGCTAAATAAAGTGAGTGTTCCCTGAAGCATCCTTGGTTCAGCCATTTGCTATTACGCTTTGCCACAACACTGTTTCCTTCACGGCAACAGTTCTGTTCATCTATATGCATGTATTTTTCCTCCCTCCTTGCACTAAACTATAAAATCTCAGAAGCCAGGGTTTTGCCTCTTTCTTCACTGTATCCCCAGTGTTTGTGGACCAAATGACAGAGCAAAGGTTGAGTTTACCTGGTCACACTACAGAGCTAGGGTCATACCCCAGATCTCCTATCTCCTAATTTCTTTTTTCTTTCTTTCTTTTTTTTTTTTTTAGATGGATTCTTGCTCTGTCACCTAGGCTGGAGTGCAGTGGTGCAATCTCGGCTCACTACAACCTCCACCTCCCAGGTTCCAGTGATTTTCCTCCCTCAGCCTCTCAAGTAGCTGGGACTACAGGCATGTGCCACCAAACCTGGTTAATTTTTGTATTTTTAGTAGAGACAAGGTTTCACCATGTTGGTCAGGCTGGTCTTGAACTCCTGAGGTCAAGTGATCTGCCCGCCTTGGCCTCCCAAAGTGCTGGGATTATAGGCATGAGCCACTGCACCCAGCCCTACCTCCTAATTTCTATGTCCTTCCATATTCCCTCTCTACAAAAGCATCTCTCTACTATGAAATAAGCCTCTAAACAAGCTGTTTTGCATAGTCATTACAAACAAGTAATTAAGTGCTTGTGCTACTTAGGTTCAAATCCCAGCTTCTTTCTCCCTTTTCTAGTTGTGTGAACTGCAACCAATTCCTTACTCTTGTTGTACTTTAGTTTCTCGCTCGGTAAAATGTAGGTTGGCCAGGTGTGGTGGTTCACGCCTGTAATCCTAACACTTTGGGAGTCCGAGTCAGGAGGATCACTGGAGGTCAGGAGTTCTAGACCAGCAACATAGTGAGACCCCATCTCTATAAAAATAATAAGAAGAAGAAGCCAGGGGTGGTGGCCCTTACCTGTAGTTTCAGCTACTCAGGAGATTGAGCTGGGAGGATCCCAGGAGTTCAAGGTTACAGTGAGCTATGATTGTGCCTGGGTGACAGAGTGAAACCCAGTCTCAAAAAAAAAAAAAAAAAAGCGGGGGGTAATAATACTCACTCAATAGGGCTGATATGAAGCTCAAATGACTTAATGCCTGTGAAATTCTTAGCACAGGGTTCAATGAGTGTTAGGCACACAGAAACAGGAGAGGAGCTCTCAAATCAATATTAATTAATACTAAGGAAATAATGCTTTATTTTTTGAGACAGGGTCTTGCTCTGTTGCCCAGGCTGGAGTACAGTGAGGCAATCTTGGCTCACTGCAACCTCTGCCTCCAAGGTTGAGGTGATTCTCATGTCTCAGCCTCCTGAGTGGCTGGGATTACAGGTGTGTGCCACCACGACTGGATAATTTTTTTTTTTTTTTTTTTTGTGAGACGGAGTCTCACTCTGTCACCCAGGCTGGAGTGCAGTGGCACGATCTTGGCTCACTGCAACCTCCACCTCCCAGGTTTACACGATTCTCCCACCTCAGCCTCCCAAGTAGCTGGGACTACAGGTATGCACCACCACACCGGCTAATTTTTGTATTTTTTAGTAGAGAAGAGGTTTCACCATGTTGGCCGGGCTGATCTTGAACTCCTGATCTCAGGTGATCTGTCCGCCTCAGCCTCCCAAAGCGCTGGGATTACAGGCGTGAGCCACCGCGCCTGGCCAGGAAATAAACTATTTTCTTAAATATGCATCTAGGGCCTAGTAAGTACAAGGTACCCTGGGGTGGGGGGGTCACAGATGAGCAGCATGGTGTCACTACCTCCAGGGACCAGGTGTGCTGTCAAGGCAGAACAGTGTGGTGCAGAGGTTATCTGCATGGTCCTGGAGTTGGCCTTCTTGGGTTCAAATCCCAGCCCTGCTACTGCCTGGTTCTGTGATCTAGGGAGAGTTACTTGACATTTCTAAACATTTCTGATTTCAGCCTATAAAATGAGGCCAATAATAAGAGTATCTGCCCCGCCTAGACAGGATTAAATGAGGTAGTGCTTAGCATAGCTCAGTGAGCACTGCTGGTGTCTCTGTGTTGGAGCCTTCCCACCCCTGCTCTCCTGCAGGCAGTGTTAGTGGCCCCCATCCTGTTCCCTCATGGCCCCTGAGCTCATGATTCTCCCCCTGCTAGATGGTGTGCATTTTGAAAGTGGGGACAACTTTCCTCCATTTATGCAAGGCCTCACTCAGAGAAGCCCCTTAACAAAGGGCTACTGGAATAAACGAAGGAATGGATGAAGAAACAAAGGCCAGGCAGAGTAAAACCAAGAAGACGTTGCATAATTGAAGGCAGCAATTGGGCATTTTCACCTCAACAATGCTAGCACCTATTACATCAGCTGGACTGGACAGTGCTTTCACACTTGCAAAATGCATCCAAAAGGACAATGAAGTCCCAGTTACTTGGGAGGCTGAGGTGGGAGGATCGCTTGAGTCCAGGAGTTGGAGGCCACAGTGAACTGTGATCACACTGCTACAGTCCAGCCTGGGCAACAGAGTGAGACCCCGTCTTTAATCAACAACAACAACAAAAAGGATGATCAGGCCAGACGCGGTGGCTCATTTGAGGTCAGGAGTTTGAGACCGGCCTGGCCAACATGGTGAAACCCCATCTCTACCAAAAATACAAAAAAATTAGCCAGGCATGATGGTGGGCAACTGTACTCCCAGCTACTCAGGAGGCTGAGGCAGGAGAATTGCTTGAACCTGGGAGGCACTGGTTGCAGTGAGCTGAGATCGCACCACTGCACTCACTCTAGCCTGGGCAACAGAGCAAGACTCTGTCTCAAAAAAAAAACAAAAAAAAAACAAAAAAAAAACAAAAAAAAAAAACCGCCGGGTGCGGTGGCTCATGCCTGTAATCCCGGCACTTTGGGAGGCCGAGGTAGGTGGATCACCTGAGGTCAGGAGTTCGTGACCAGCCTGGCCAACATGGTGAAACCCCATCTCTACTAAAAATACAAAAATTAGCTGGGCGTGGTGGCAGGCGCCTGTAATCCCAGCTACTCGGGAGGCTGAGGCAGGAGAATCCCTCAAACCCGGGAGGCAGAGGTGAGCCGAGATCGCACCATCGCACTCCAGCCTGGGAGACATAAGCGAGACTTTGTCTCAAAAAAAAAAAAAAAAAAAGCAACTCGGGAGGCTGAGGCAGGAGAATCGCTTGAACCCAGAAGGTGGAGGTTGCAGTGAGCCAAGATGGCACCATTGTACTCCAGCCTGGGCGACAGAGTGAGACTCTGTCTCAAAACAACACAACAACAACAACTAAAAAAACAAAAAAGGATGATCAAGGATATAGGATGATAGTGCTCTCCTTCCAATGACTTCACATTTGAACAAGTGATCAGACATGCAAACTGGCTACTATGATTCACTATCATAAAATGCCATGCTGTGGGAACACAAGAAAGGGTGCACTTCATTCTTTTTTTTTTTTTTTGAGACTGAGTCTCACTCTGTTGCCCAGGCTGGAGTGCAGTGGCTTGATCTCAGCTCACTGCAACCTCCACCTCCCAGGTTCAAGTGATTCTCCTGCCTCAGCCTCCTGAGTAGCTGGGATTACAGGTGCATGCCACCACACTGGCTAATTTTTGTATTTTTATTAGAGACAGAGTTTTGCCATGTTGGCCAGGCTGGTCTTGAACTTCTGATCTCAGGTGATTCGCCTGCCTCGGCCTCCCAAAGTGCTGGGATTACAGGCGTGAGCCACTGTGCCCGGCCAGGTGCACTTAATTCTTCCTGGCTGTGAGGGTGAAGGAAAGCTACAAAAGTTAAGTGCCCTGGAGCCAATCTTTGAAGTAAAGAGACTGGCGGGTAGAAAGGCATAGGATAGAGTCATAGAGTCACTCAGCAGAAGCAAAGGCACAGAGGGAACTGCCTGATGGATCCTAAGAGTGCGAAGGAATTCCTCACTGGCTAGAGTGTGGGTGTCATGTAGTTGGATAGAGTAATGGCCCCCCAAAGATATCCATGTCCTCACCCTGGAGCCTGTGAATAATCCTCATATAGCAGAAGAGACTCTGCAGGTGTGATGAAACGAATGATCTTAGGATGGGGAGGTTACCCTGCATTATCCACATGGGCCCTAAATGCAATCACATGTCCTCCTCCTAAGAGGGAGGCGGGAGAACAGGTTCAGTGGAAGGTGGTGTGACTAAGCAAGTAGAGGGAGAAAAGGTGACGTGATGTGGATCGCGGGCCAAGGATTGCAGGCAGCCTCTAGAAGCTGGGGAAGGCAAGGATCAGCTTCTCCCCTGCACCCCCGAGAAGACACCAGCCAGGCCAACACCTTGAATTTAACTTCCTAAAACTCATTTCGGGCCGGGCAGGGTGACTGACACCTGTGAAATCCCAGGTGGGAAGATGGTTTGAGCCCAGGAGTTCGAGATCAGCCTGGATGACACAGCAAGACCTTGTCTCTACTAAAAATTTTTTAAAAATTACCCGGGTGCAGTGGCTCATACCTGTAATCCCAGCACTCTGAGAGGCCGAGGAGGGCAAATTGCTTGAGTCCAGGAGTTCAAGGCCAGCCTAGGCATCATAGCGAAACCCTGTCTCTACAAAAAACACAAAAATTAGCTGGGTGCAGTAGCCCGCACCTGTTGTCCCAGCTACTGGGGAGGCTGAAGAGGGAAGATTACGTGAGCCTGGGAAATCAAGGCTGCAGTGAGCCGTGATCACACCACTGCACTCCAGCCTGGGCGACAGAGCGAGATCTCATCTCTACTAAAAATGTTCAAACAATTAGCTAGAGGTGGCACGCACTTATAGTCCCAGCTACTCTGGAGGCTGAGGAGGGTAGGAGCGCTTGAGTGCAGGAGTTTGAGGCTGCAGTAAGCTATAATCATGCCACTGTACTCCAGCCTGGGTGACAGAGCAAGACCCCGTCTCTAAAAAAACAACCACACATACTCAGTTTGGACTTTTGGCCTCAATTACTGTAAGATAATACATTTGTGTGCTTTTAATCCACTAAGTTTGTGGCAAGGTGTTATAACAGCATAGGAGACTAAACAGGTAGCAGGGTAGGTATGGGAAGAAAATAGGTTATTAAGGCCGGGTGCTGTAATCCCAGCACTTTGGGAGGCTGAGGCAGGATCACAAAGTCAGGAGATCGAGACGATCCTGGCTAACACGGTGAAACCCAGTCTCTACTAAAAATACAAAAATTAGCCGGGCATGGTGGCGGGCGCCTGTAGTCCCAGCTACTCGGGAGGCTGAGGCAGGAGAATGGCATGAACCCGGGTGGCGGAGTTTGCAGTGAGCCGAGATCGTGCCACTGCACTCCAGCCTAGGTGACAGAGCGAGACTCCGTCTCAAAAAAAAAAAAAAAAAAGAAAATAGGTTATTAAGACTGTGCCGACTGCACTACGAAATTTGAACTTCATTCCATATGGGACAGGGAAATGAGAGACTCATAAGGCAGTATGATTAGATAGATGTCAGAGAGAGAATTCTGATGTGTGGTGGGCTCATGCCTGTAACCCCAGCACTTTGGAAGGCCAAGGCAGGAGGATTGCTTGAGTTTAGGAGTTTGAGACTAGCCTGGGCAACATGGTAAAACCCCATCTCTACCAAAAAAAAAAAAAAAAGAAAGAAAAGAAAATTAGCCAGGCGTTGTGGTGTACGCATGTAGTCCCAGCTACTCTGGAGGCTGAGGTGGGAGGATCACTTGACCCTGGGAAACAGAGGCTGCAGGGAGCCAAGATTCTGCCACTGTACTCCAGCCTGGCTGACAGAGACGCCATCTCAAAACAAAAAAATACTCCTGTAATCCCACCCCTTTGGGAGGCCAAGGCAGCTGGATCGCTTGAGCTCAGGAGTTTGAGACCAGCCTGGGCCACATGGTGAAACCCCATCTCTACAAAAAACAAAAAAATTAGCCGGGCATGGTGGTGTGCAGGTATAGTCCTGGATACTTGGGAGGCTGAGGTGGGAGGATCACCTGAGCCCAGGGAGGTTGAGTCTGCAGAAAGCCATGATTGTGCCACTGCAGTACAGCCTGGATGACAGCAGGAGACCCTCTCTCAAAAAAAAAAAAGAAAAGAAAAGAGCCTGGGCGCGGTGGATCACACCTGTAATGTCAGCACTTTGGGAGGCCGAGGCGGGCAGATCACTTGAAGTCAGGAGTTCAAGACAATCCTGGCCAACATGGTGAAACCCTGTCTCTACTAAAAATATAAAAAATTAGCTGGGCGTGGTGGCGGGTGACTGTAGTCACAGCTACTGAGAAGGCTGAGGCACGAGAATCACTTGAACCCAAGAGGTGGAGGTTGCAGTGAGCCGAGATCACGCCACTGCACTCCAGCCTGGGTGACAGAGCAAGACTCCATCTCAAAAAAATACAATAAAATAAGGCCAAGGTGACTCATGCCTGTAATCCCAGCACTTTGGGAGGCCAAAGCAGGGTGGATCACTTGAGGTCAGGAGTTCAAGACTAGCCTGGCGAACATGGTGAAAACCCGTATGTGTTAAAAATACAAAAATTAGCTGGGTGGCCAGGCGCAGTGGCTCACGCCTGTAATCCCAGCAGTCTGGGAGGCCAAGGTGGGCAGATCATGAGGTCAGGAGATCGAAACCATCCTGGCTAACACAGTGAAACCCCATCTCTACTAAAAATACAAAAATTAGCCGGGCATGATGGTGGGCGCCTGTAGTCCCAGGAGGCTGGGAGGCTGAGGCAGGAGAATGGCGTGAACCTGGGAGACGGAGCTTGCAGTGAGCCGAGATCGTGCCACTGCACTCCAGCCTGTGCGACAGAGTGAGACTCTGTCTGAAAAAAAAAAAAATAGCTGGGCATGGTGGCATGCGCCTGTAGTCCCTGCTACTCGGGAGGCTGAAGCACAAGAGTTGTTTGAACCCGGGAGGTGGAGGTTGCAGTGAGTCGAGATCGCACCACTGCACTCCAGCCTGGCGACAGAGGGAGACCCTGTCTCAACAATAAAATAAAATAAGGCCAAGGACCTGAATGAAGGACTGAGCCATGTGAATACCTGGGGAAAGGGCATTCTGGGCAGAGGGAGTGGCAAGTGCAAAGGGCCTACTCTGCACAAGTTGCAGAGTGGAAGGAGGTGAAAGCTGAGAAAGTAGTGAAGGATTGGATATCTAGGACCTTCTAAGTCACGTTAAGACAGGTGGCATTGGCCGGGCATGGTGGCTTACGCCTGTAATCCCAGCACCTTGGGAGGCTGAGGCGGGCAGATCACTTGGGCTCAGGAGTTCAAGACCATCCTGAGCTAATACGGTGAAACCCCATCTCTACTAAAAATACAACAAATTAGCCAGGTGTGGTGGCACACGCCTGTAGTCTCAGCTACTCAGGAGGTTGAGGCAGGAGAATCGCTTGAACCTGGGATGGGGAGGTTGCAGTGAGCTGAGATTGCACCACCGCACTCCAGCCTGGGCCACAAAGCAAGACTCAGTCTCAAAAAAAAAAAAAAAAAAGACAGGTGGCATTGGCCGGGTGTGGTGGCTCACAGGTATAATCCCAGCATTTTGGGAGCTGAGGCGAGCGCATCACCGGAGGTCAGGAGTTCAAGACCAGCCTGGCCAATATGGTAAATCCCCGTCTCTACTAAAAATATAAAAATTAGCCAGGTGTGGTGGCACACGCCTGTAATCCCAGCTACTCGGGAGGCTGAGGCAAGAGAATCACTTGAATCCAGGAGGGGTTAGTAGAGCCAAGATCATGCCATTGCACTCTAGCCTGGGCAACGGAGTAAGACTCTATCTAAAAAAAAAAAAAAAAAAAAAAAAAAAAGACAGGTGGCATTTACTCTGACATGGGAGGCATTCAGAGGTTCTTAGCAGTGGAGGCACGTCCTATGACTGGCACTTTAAAAGGATTGCTCTGACTGCTGTTTGGAAAATGGACTTGATGGGGCTAAGACTGGAAACAGGGAAACATGTTAGAAGGCTCCAGCAACCCTCAGTGGGGAGGATGATGGTGGTTGGACAAGGGTGTTAGTGACAGAAGTGGGAGAAATTGCAGAATGCCAAGCGAATCATATTTGCTGATGCATTGAAGAGAGGGAATGAGAAAAAGAGGAGCCAAGGACAAGTCTAGGTCTAGGTTGTTGTTTTATTGAGCAACTGGAAGACTGGAGGTAGAGTGTCCTGAGATGGGGAAACTGGGAAGAGGAGACTGGAGCTCTGACTATGTCCTAAATTCAGGGAGTCCATTAGAAATCTTAGTGGGGGCTGGGTGTGGTGGTTCAAGCCTGTAATCCCGACACGTTGGGAGGCTGAGATGGAGGATTGCTTGAGGCCAGAAGTTCAAGTCCAGCCTGGGAAACATGGCAGGTCCCCATCTCTAAAAAAAAAATTTAAATTTAAAATTAAAAAAAAAAAATCTCAATGGGAAGGCTGGGCATGGTGGCTCACGCTTGTAATCCCAGCACTTTGGGAGGCCCAGGCGGGTGGATCACTTGATCTCAGGAGTTTGAGACCAGCCTGGCCAACATAGCAAAACCCCGCCTCTACTAAAAATACCAAAAAAAAAAAAAAAAAAAAAAATTCGCTGGGTGTGGTGGCACATGCTTGTGTGAGGCAGGAGAATTGCTTGCACACAGGAGGCAGAGGTTGCAGTGATCCAAGATCACGCCATTGCACTCCCAGCTACTCGGGAGGCTGAGGCACCAAAATCACTTGAACAAGGGAGGCAGAGTCTGCAGTGAGCCAAGATCACGCCACTGAACTACAGCCTGGGTGACAGTGCAAGACTGTGTCTCAAATTAATTAATTAATTAATTAATTAACTGGGAGTGGTGGCACCTGGCTGTAGTCCCAGATACTTGGAAGGCTGAGGTAGAAGGATCCCTTGAATCTGGGAGGTGGAGGCTGCAGTGAGCCAAGATCGCACCACTGAAATCCAGCCTGGGTGACAGAGAGAGATCCTGTCTCAAACAAAACAAAATAAAACAAAACAGCTCCTTGCCTCCATGATGTTATTATTACATATGACATGTCTGTATCAAAACATTTCACGTGTCCAGGCTCGGTGGCCCACGCCTGTAATCCCAGCACTTTGGGAGGCCAAGGTGGGTGGATCATTTGAGGTCAGGAGTTTGAGACTAGCCTGGCCAACATGGTGAAACCCTGCCTCTACTAAAAATACAAAAATTAGCCGGACGTGGTGGTGCACACCTGTAATCCCAGCTACTCGGGAGGCTGAGGCAGGAGAATTGCTTGAACCCAGGAGGTGGAGGTTGCAGTGAGGTAAGATTGCGCCACTGCACTCCAGCCTGGGCAACACAGCAAGACTCCATCTCAAAGCAAAACAAAACATCTCATGTACCCCGTAAATATATACACCTTCTAGGTACCCACAAAAAAAAAAAAAATAAAAAGGCTTGGTGCGGTTGCTCACGCCTGTAATCACAGCACTTTGGGAGGCCAGGTGGGGCTGATCACCTGAGGTCAGAAGTTCGAGACCAGCTAGGCTAACATGGTGAAACCCAGTTTCTACTAAAAATACAAAAAATTAGCTGGACATGGTGGTGCGTGCCTGTAATCCCAGCTACTCGGGAGGCTGAGGCAGGAGAATTGCTTGAACACAGGAGGCAGAGGTTGCAGTGATCCAAGATCACACCATTGCACTCCAGCTTGGGCAACAAAAGCGAAACTCCATCTCAAAAAAAAAAAAAAAAGAGTTTTGTTCTGTCACCCAGGCTGCCGTGCAGTGGCACCATCCTAACTCACTCTACCCTCCAACTTCTGGCCTCAAGTGATCCTCCTGCCTCAGCTTTCTTAGCAGCTGGGACTACAGGCATGCACCCCAATGCCTGGCTAATTTTTCTGATTATTTTTTGTGGAGACAGGGTCTCGCTACATTGCCCAGGCTGATCTTGAACTCCTGGCCTCAAGCAATCCTCCTACCTTAGCCTCTCAAAGCACTGAGATTACAGGTGTGAGCTACCATGACCGGCAAAAATGTTCTAAAATTATACTATGGTGATGGTTGCAAAGCTGTGTGAATATACTAAAAGACTCACTGAACTATATACTTTAAATGGGTGAATTGTATAGGGTGTGACTTATACCTGAGTAAAATTGTTTAAAAAATAGTCTATGGAGGCTGGGCGTGGTGGCTCACGCCTGTAATCCCAGCACTTTGGGAGGCCAAGGCAGGTGGATCACGAGATCGGGAGTTCAAGATCAGCCTGGCCATGATGGTGAAACCCTGTCTCTACTAAAAATAAAAATAAAAAAAAAAATAGCTGGGTGTGGTGGTGGGCGCCTGTAATCCCAGCTACTCGGGAGGCTGAGGCAGAGAACTGCTTGAACTCGGGAGGTGGAGGATGCAATCCAGTTGGGCCAGACACAGTGGTTCACGCCTGTAATCCCAGCACTTTAGGAGGCTGAGGCAGGTGAATCACGAAGTCAGGAGTTCGAGACCAGCCTGACCAACATGGTGAAACCCTGTGTCTACTAAAAATACAAAAATTAGCCGGGCATGGTGGCGTGAGCCTATAGTCCCAGCTACTTGGGAGGCTGAGGCAGGAGAATCACCTGAACCCAGAGGCAGAGGTTGCAGTGAGCCAAGATTGCACCACTGCACTCTAGCCTGGGTGACAAAGTAAGACTCCATCTCAAAAAAAAAAAAAAAAAGTCCAATTGGGCATGCTTAGGGAAATACTGTAAGTAGATTCTCTTTATTCAGTTGCCTTTCTTCTTTCTTTTCTTGTCTTTTTTTTTCTTTGAGTCCGGGTGTTGCTCTGTTGCTCAGGCTGGAGTGCAGTGCTGCGATCATGGCTCACTGCAACCTCAACCTCCCAGGCTCAAGGAATCCTCCCACTTCAACCTCTGAAGTAGCTGCGACTACAGATGCGTGCCACCATGCCCGGCTAATTTAAAAAAATTTTTGAGGCCAGGTGCGGTGGCTCACGACTGTAATCCCAGCACTTTCGGAGGCTGAGGCAGGAGGATCACGTGAGGTCAGGAGTTCAAGACCAGCCTGGCCAACATTGTGAAACCCTGACTCTACTAAAAAAATGCAAAAATTAGCTGGGCGTGGTGGCAGGTGCCTGTAATCCCAGCTACTCAGGAGGCTGAGGCAAGATAATCGCTTGAGCCCGGGAGGCGGAGGTTGCAGGAGCGGAGATCATGATACTGCACTCCAGCCTGAGCAACAGAGCAAGCCTCTGTCTCAAAAAAAAAAAAAATTTTTTTTTTTTTTTTTATAGAGACTTGGTCTCACTATATTGCCAGGGCTGGTCTCAAACTCTTGGGCTCAAGAGATCCTCCCACTTTGGCCTCCCAAAGTGCTAGGATTACAGGTGTGAGTCACTGCATCCAGCCTCCTGGCCTTCATTTATTTGAACATTTTCAAGCATCTACTGTATGACTCTCTCCCATTTAAGCTCTAGTATTATTGAAGATTCTGCTAACTATGAGTATGAGTGCCCTTCAAGCCATAGGGGACAGAAATAACTTTTTTTTTTTTTTTTGTGATGGAGTCTCGCTCTGTTGCTCAGGCTGGAGTGCGGTGGTGCCGTCTTGACTCACTGCAATCTTGGCCTCCTGAGTTCAAGCAATTCTCCTGCCTTAGCCTCCATAGTAGCTCAGATTACAGGCGCCTGCCACCACGCTGGCTAATTTTTGTACTTTTATTATTATTGTTATTATTATTATTTTTGAGATGGAGTCTCGCTCTGTCTGCACTCCCAGGCTGGAGTGCAGTGGCATGATCTCGGCTCACTGCAAGCTCTGCCTCCAGGGTTCCCGCCATTCTCTTGCCTCAGCCTCCCGAGTAGCTGGGACTACAGGTGCCCGCCACCACAGCCGGCTAATTTTTTTGTAGTTTTAGTAGAGATGGGGTTTCACTAATGTTAGCCAGATGGTCTCAATCTCCTGACCTCATGATCTGCCTGCCTCGGCCTCCCAAAGTGCTGGGATTACAGGCGTGAGCCACCACGCCCGGCCTATTTTTTTTTTTTTTAACGGAGTCTCACTCTGTCTCCCAGGCTGGAGTGCAGTGGCACGATCTCGGCTCACTACAACCTCCGCCTCCTGGGTTCCAGCAGATCTCCTGCCTCATGCTCCCGAGTAGGTGTGATTACAGGCATGTGCCACCACTCCTGGCTAATTTTTGTATTTTTAGTAGAGACGGGGTTTCACCATGTTGGCCAGGCTGGTGATGAACTCCTGACCTCAGGTGATCCGCCCGTCTTGGCCTCCGAAAGTGCTGGGATTACTGGTGTGAGCCACTGTGCCAGGTCCTAATTTTCCTATTTTTAGTAGACGCGGGGTTTCTACATGTTGGTCAGTCTGGTGTCGAACTCCTGACTTTAGGTGATCTGCCTGCCTCGAACTCCCAAAGTATTGGGATTACAGGCTTGAGCCACTGCACCCAGCCGGGAATGACTTTTACGGTCAGCCTGGAATAAATGGTCTATTTGTAAAGTGGTGTAATAATATTGCACAATAAAATGAGATCAAAGGGTTTAAACAAGCCTACGAGAAGGAAAAGTTGAAAAATCATAGACTCACAGCCCATGCCAAAATCTGGATGAAAGCTGAAAATTTCAGCCTCTCTGGCTGTCTTATCTCTACAGGCAGCGATTGGGCCATTCCACATATGGCCTGTTCTTTCATTTTCCTGAAACATGACCTCTGAAAGGTTCCTTGCAATTTGAGAAGATCTAGTATAACCCCTTGTTTTCGATGAAGAACAATGAGGATGACCTTCCCAAGGTCACACATTTCTGGACAAGCAGCTGTGCAGAAACTATACCTGGTGCTATTTTCATCAGGATGGTTCTAATAGTCCAGGGTGAGATGACCAAGAATCTAGAGTTTGGAAATCATCAGGTTGTTAAAAGAAGGCTTCTCAGCTTTGTTCTGCATTCCGGAAGGCATCTTGTTAAAAGAACAAGTTTTCGGCCAGGCGTGGTGGCTTACGCCTGTAATCCCAGCCTTTGGGAGGCGAGGTGGGCGGATCATGAGGTCAGGAGATCCAGACCATCCTGGCTAACACGGTGAAACCCCATCTCTACTAAAAATACAAAAAAATTAGCTGGGCGTGGTGGCGGGCGCCTGTAGTCTCAGCTACTTGGGAGGCTGAGGCAGGAGAATGGCATGAACCCGGGAGGCGGAGCTTGCAGTGAGCCAAGATCACGACACTGCACTCCAGCCTGGGCGACAGAGCGAGACTCCGTCTCAAAAAGTAAATAAAGAAAGAATAAAAGTTTTTGTATTGATATTCAAATATCTCGCCTCCAATTGTGATGATTACACAAAAAAGCCACCAATTGGTTCCTCCCTACATGCCCATCCTTTGCAAAGTTATTTGGCTGTATATTTCCCTACCCCTCAAATTTTGTGTTTGGCCACATGTCTTGCTTTGGCTAATGTGACATTAGAAAATGTGACACAAGAAAAGACCTGAAAAGTGCCTGTGCAGAGTTCAAGACCAGCCTGGGTAACACAGGGAGACCCTGGCTCTACAACAAATACAAAAATTAGCCAGGCCTGGTAGTGCGTGCCTGTGGTCTCAGCTACTGGGGAGGCTGAGGTGGGAGGATTGCTTGAGCCCGGGGGTGAAGGCTGCAGTGACTGTGATCATGCCATTGTACTCTAGCCTGGGTGCCAGAGCAAGATCCTGTTTCAGAAAAAAGGCTGGGTGCAATCGCTTATACCTATAATACCAGCACTTTCGGAGGCTGAGGTGAGAGGATCACCTGAGGTCAGGAGTTCGAGACCAGCCTGGCTAACATGCCGAAACCCTGTCCCTACTAAAAATACAAAAATTAGCTGGGCATGGTGGCAGATTCCTGTAATCCCAGCTACTGAAGAGGCTGAGGCAGAAGAATTGCTTGAACCTGGGAGGCGGAGGTTGCAGTGAGCCGAGGTCGCATCATTGTACTCCAGTCTGGGTGACAAGAGCGAAACTCCGTCTCCAAAAAAAAAAAGTGCCTGTGCAGTGGGGCCTGCCTTCTCTTGCTGTTCTTGGGAACCTAGTATGTACGGCCATGTGAATATGTCCAGGCTAGCCTGCTAGATGACTACAGACCTGTGGCTATGCTGCCCCTATCATCCACAGGTGACCAACAGCCAGTTGCCAGACATGTCAGTGAGAACATCCTAGACCATCCAACCCCAGTTGAACTAGCTCAGAAGAGAAGTGTCCAGCCAACTCTCAGAAAATTTTTATTTTTTTGAGATGGAGATTTGCTCTTGTTGCCCAAGCTGGAGTGCAATGGTGCGATCTCGGCTCACCACAACCTCCACCTCCCAGGTTCAAGCGATTCTCCCACCTCAGCCTCCTGAGTAGCTGAGATTACAGGTGTTCACCACCATGCCTGGCTTTTTTGTATTTTTAGTAGAGATGGGATTTGTCACTGCACTTAAGCCTGGGTGACAGAATGAATGTTTTTGTATTTTTAGTAGAGATGGGGTTTCTCCATGTTGGTCAGGTTGGTCTTGAACTCCTGACCTCAGGTGATCTGCCTGCCTCGGCCTCCCAAAGTGCTGGGATTACAGGCGTGAGCTACCGTGCCCAGCCAACTCTCAGAATCTTAAGAAAGAAATAACATCTGTTGTTTTCAGCCACTATGTTGGGGGTGAGTGGTTTGTTACACAGCAGAAGCTAACGAATACACAAATATTCAGGAAGTTTTTAAAAAGGGTTACATAACTGAAAAATAAATTCGCATGTCAAGATCATTAGAAATCATAGTAACGGGATTTCTTGAGTCATTTTCAGGACACCAGGAGACTATAAATTGCTTATTGCTGCATCAAGATTTGTCCTGTGTTGACCCTCTGAGGATAGAGATTAGTCACATGTACATGGAAAGAAACAAGAACCCTGATCAAAGAAGAGTGAGACCAACTCACAGAGAGCCTCAGTTCTAACCTCTTTCAAGCCTGCAGAAGGCTAGTGACCAAGAGTAGATCCCCTGAAGGCTCCTGTGGTTTCTTGGTTCCAGTGTCTTCTGATGAACTTAGAATGATGCTTTTCCCAATGCCTGCAAGGCGACATCACAAGCTATTAACTAACTGCAATAAAAATTGGCTTCGGCCGGGAGCGGTGGCTCATGCCTGTAAGCCCAGCACTTTGGGAGGCCGAGGCGGGTGGATCACAAGGTCAGGAGATCGAGACCATCCTGGCTAACACGGTGAAACCCCATCTCCACTAAAAATACAAAAAAAAAAAACAACTCTCCGGACGTGGTGGTGGGCGCCTGTAGTCCCAGCTACTCCAGAGGCTGAGGCAGGAGAATGGCGTGAGCCCGGTAGGCGGAGCTTGCAGTGAGCCGAGATCGCGCCACTGCACTCCACCCTGGGCAACAGAGCGAGACTCCGTCTCAAAAAAAAAAAAAAAAAAAAATGGCTTCATCCAGTGGGAGAATGAAAATTCTGGGCCAGGCACAGTGGCTCACACCTGTAATCCCAGCACTTTGGGAGGCCGAGGCAGATAGATCACTTTGACCCAGGAGTTTGAGACCAGCCTGGACAACAGGGTGAGACCACGTCTCTACAAAAAAATACAAAAATTAGCAAGGCATGGTGGTGTGCAACTGTGATCCCTGTCCCTGTGCGCATGTATCTGCTTGGGAGGCTGAGGTGGGCGGATCACTGGGAGGAGAGGGTTACAGTCAGCTGAGATCACACCATTGCACTCAAGCCTGGATGACAGAGCTAATCCCTGTCTCAAAAAAAAAAAAAAAAAAAAAAGGAAACTTCTCCACTGAAATCACATACGATGGCAACACTTAGGTAAAGAAGGTCCCCTAACTGCCTGGAATTGCTTGGGTCATTGTGGGTAGCGTTGGATGTTGGCCCCATCGTCCTGGCCCATGGCTGGTAGCCATTAGCAGGTGCATAGGAAGCATGTGCCATTGCAGGCCCAATTAAGCAAACTTGCAAAAATTGAGAATTAGTCTCAGATCAAATTATTAAGTACCCACTATGCTCAGATTGACTCCATGTAGGTGACAACAGGAGCAGAGGGCTCTGCCTGCTTCTGCTGCTCCTATATTTGGCCAATATGACATTTCAGCAGAAAAAAATCCAAATGTGGCAGAAAAGCATGCAGGATTAAATTTCCTGCTGGGCGTGGTGGCTCACACTTGTAATCCCAGCACTTTGGGAGGCTGAGGCGGGCGGATCACGAGGTCAGGAGTTCAAGACCAGCCTGGCCAACACAGTGAAACCCCATCTCTACTAAAAATGCAAAAATTAGCTGGGCGTGGTGGTGTGCGCTTGTAATCCCAGCTACTCGGGAGGCTGAGGCAGGAGAATCGCTTGAACCCGGGAGGCAGAGGTTGTAGTGAGCCGAGTTCATGCCATTGCACTCCAGCCTGGGCGACAGAGCTAGACTGTGTCTCAAAACAAACAAATAAAAACAAAACAAAACAAAAAAATCTTCCTGAAAATGGCCTTTCCTTTCTATTTCTGTGTGACTTAGGATTTCCTGCCTAGAGTTTGAAAATGGTAGTTTCTGTTTGAATAACACAAAAGTAAAGTGGTGTAGACAATAAGATATTTTTTCTTTTCTTTTCTTTTCTTTTCTTTTTTTTTTTGAGATGGAGTCTTGCTCTGTCACCCAGGCTGAAGTGCAGTGGTGCGAACTTGGCTCACTACAACCGCCACCTCCTGGGTTCAAGTAATTCTCCTGTCGCTCCTGTCTCAGCCTCCCGAGTAGCTGGGACTGCAGGTGCAGGCCACCATACCTGGCTAATTTTTTTTGAATTTTTAGTAGAGACCGGGTTTCACTGTGTTAGCCAGGGTGGTCTCGATCACCCAGCCTCGTGATCTGCCTGCCTCACTCTCCCAAAGTGCTGGGATTATAGGCATGGGCCAACATGCCCCCAGCTCTTTTTATTTTTTGAGACGAAGTCTCTCCCTGTCGCCCAGGCTGGAGTGCAGTGGCCCGATCTCAGCTCACTAAGCTCCACCCCCTGGGTTGAAGCAATTGTCTTGCCTCAGCCTCCTGAGTAGCTAGGATTATAGGCACCTACCATCAAGCCCTGCTAATTTTTGTTTGTTTGTTTGTTTGTTTTTTGAGACAGAGTCTGGCTGTGTCGCCCAGTCTAGAGTGCAGTGGCGCAATCTCGGCTCACTGCAAGCTCTGCCTCCTGGGTTCACGCCATTCTCTTGCCTCAGCCTCCTGAGTAGCTAGGACTACGAGTAGCTGGGACTACAGGTGCCTGCCAACACGCCCGGCTAATTTTTTCTATTTTTAGTAGAGACGGGGGTTTCACCGTGTTACCAGGATGGTCTCGATCTCCTGACCTCGTGATCTGCCCGCCTCGGCCTCCCAAAGTGCTGGGATTACAGGTGTGAGCCACTGCGCCCAGCCTGTTTTTTGTTTTTTTGGGATAGAGTCTCACTCTGTCATCCAGGCTGGAGTGCAGTGGCATGATCTTGGCTCACTGTAAACTCTGCCTCCTGGGTTCAAGTGATTCTCCTTCCTCAGCCTTCCAATTAGCTTGGACTACAGGTGCACACCACCACACTCGGCTAATTTTTTATATTTTTAGTAGAGATGGGGTTTCACCATATTGGCCAGGCTGGTGTCGAACTCCTGACCTTGTGATCCGCCCACCTTGGCCTCCCAAAGTGCTGGGATTACAGGTGTGAGCCACCATGCCCGGCTCTAATTTTTGTATTTTTAATAGAGACACGGTTTCACCACCATGTTGGCCAGGCTAGTCTCAAACTCCCGACCTCAAATGATCTGCCCGCCTCGGCCTCCCAAAGTGCTGGGATTACAGGCGTGAGCCATGATGCCCAGCCTCTTTTTTTGTTTTGAGACATGATCTCGCTTTGTTGTTCAGGCTGGAGTGCAGTGGCACAATCATGGTTCACTGCATGCAGCCTTGACCTCCCAGGCCCAAGTGATCCTCCCACCTCAGCCTCCTGAGTAGCTGGGACCACAGGCATGCCCCGCCACGCCCAGCTAATTCTTTTTCATTTACTTTATTTTTATGTATTTTTTTAGATGGAGTTTCACTCTTGTTGCCCAGGCTGGAGTACAATCGCATGATCTTGGCTCACCTCCACCTCTACCTCCTGGGTTCAAGCGATTCTCTTTGCTCAGCCTCCCGAGTAGCTGGAATTACAGGGATGTGCACCAGCCTGGCTAATTTTGTATTTTCAGTAGAGATAGCGTTTCTACATGTTGGTCAGGCTGGTCTCAAACTCCTGACCTCAGGTGATCCACCCGCCTCGGCCTCCCAAAGTGCTAGGATTACAGGCGTGGGCCTCTGCGCCTGGCCTATTTTTTAATTTTTATTATATTTTTGAGAGAGCCTCACTTTGTCACCCAGGCTGCAGTGTAGTGGCACGATCTCAGCTCACTGCAACCTTGGCTTCCTGGGTTCAAGCAATTCTCGTGCCTCAGCCTCCCAAGTAGCTGGGATTACAAGCACCCGCCACCACGCCCAGCTAATTTTTTTTTTTGTATTTTTAGTAGAGACGGGGTTTCACCATGTCGGCCGGGCTGGCCTCAAACTCCTGACCTCAGGTGATCCACACGCCTCGGCTTCCCAAAGTGCTTGGATTGCAGGCATGAGCCACTGTGCCTGGTTTTTTTGTTTTTGTTTTTGTTTTTAATTAATTTTTTTCCTATAGGAACCAACATGCGTGCACTGTCAGTTTTTAAGGCATTGCCAATTTGTCCCTTGCAGGTGGTGACTTCTATAATAATCACTATTCCTTGAATAAAGAAACAGGCAGTCATCAGTGGTGCCAGTTCACTAGAGCCCTGTATTTGATGAGACAAAGGAGAGAAGCTGATTTTTTTCAAGAGAGCCACCTTAGGCCTTTACTTTTTTTTTTTTTTTTTTTTTTTTTGAGATGGAGTCTTGCTCTGTCGCCAGGCTGGAGCACAGTGGCACGATCTTGGCTCACTGCAACCTCCACCTCCTGGGTTCAAGCAGTTCTCCTGCCTTAGCCTCCCAAGTAGCTGGGACTATAGGCGCACAACGCCATGCCCAGCTATTTAATTTTTTTTTTTGTATTTTAGTAGAGATAGGGTTTCACCATGTTGCCCAGGCTGGTCTCGAACTCCTCAGTTCAGGCAATCCTCCCGCCTCGGACTCCCAAAGTGCTAGGATTACAGGCGTGAGCCACCACACCCGGCCAGGCCTTTACTATTCCATATAGGAAAGCAGTTTAGAACCCGGATGTTGGAAACAGACTTTCTGGGTTCGAATTGCACCTTTACCATTTAATAAATGTGCCCTTAGACAAAGTGACTCACTCTCTGTATGCCCTAGTCTCCCCATCTGTAAAAGGGGAATAATAATCCTATCTACTTCTCAGGGTTACTACAGGGTTTCTTAACCTCAGCACCATCGTCATTTTGGGCTGGATTAATTCTTTGTGCTGGGAGATTGTCCTGTGCATTATAGGGTGTTCAACAGTATAAGGACATAGAAAAAAACAAATTTGGATTCTCCTATACTCTCACAATACAACATAGAACGCTTCTGGGCTGGGGCGGTGGCTCACGCCTGTAATCCCAGCACTTTGGGAGGCTGAGGTGGGTAGATCACCTGAGGTCAGGAGTTCAAGACCAGCCTGGCCAACATGGTGAAACCCCGTCTCTACTAAAAATACAATAATTAGTTGGGCATGATGGCGGGTGCCTGTAATCCCAGCTACTCGGGAAGCTGAGGCTGGAGAATTGCTTGAACCCAGGAGGCGGAGTTTGCAGTGAGCCGAGATCACATCATTGTACCCTAGACTGCGCAACAGAGCAAGACTCCACCTCAAAAAAAAAAAAAAAAAAAAAAAAAAAGGCTTCTGACACCAGCCAGGCGCAGTGGCTCAGGCCTGTAATCCCAGCACTTTGGGAGGCCAAGGCAGACGGATCACCTGAGGCCAGGAGTTCAAGACCAGCCTGGCCAACATGGTGAAACTCTGTCTCTTCGAAAAAAATACAAAAATTAGCTGGGCATGGTGGTGCGTGCCTGTAATCCCAGCTACTCAGGAGGCTGAGGCAGGAGAACTGCTTGAACCCAGGAGGTGGAGGTTGCAGTGAGCCGAGATTGCGCCACTGCACTCCAGCTTGGGTGACAGAGGGAGACTCTGCCTCAAAAAAAAAAAAAAATGCGTTTGACACTAGATGTGTGGGGGCTTTTCCCTACCACATATCAAGCAAGCAATTCTGGAGTGTGCATCTGGGCACCTCTAATTCAATTCAATTCTGGCACTATCTACCTGGAGATAGCATCGGATCACACCCCCGACTTCAGATGCCAGTCACAAAAACAGGCTGTAAATCAGGGCCCCAGCAAGAGATCGGGGTTCCCACGATCCCCTCCTCAGGTTTGATTACTTTGCTAGGGTGGGTCACAGAACTGAGGGAAACACTTCTGTTATTACAAAAGATACAGCCAGATGGAAGAGAGGTGCAGGGCAAGGTATGTGGGAAGGGGCAAGTCACACTCCACGAACCTCCACCTCTTCAGCTATCTAGAAGCTCTCAGGGATGGGTATGGTGGCTCATGCCTGTATTCCCAGCACTTTGGACAGCTTAGACAGAAGGATTGCTCTAGCTCAGCGGGCGGATCACAAGGTCAGGAGATCAAGACCATCCTGGCTAACACGGTGAAAACCCGTCTCTACTAAAAATACAAAAAAAAAAAAAAAAAATTAGCCAGGCATGGTGGCGGGCGCCTGTAGTCCCAGCTAGTTGGGAAGCTGAGGCAGGAGAATAGCGTGAACCTGGGAGGCGGAACTTGCAGTGAGCTGACATCGCGCCACTGCACTCCAGCCTGGGCAACACAGCGAGACTCCGACTCAAAGAAAAAAAAAAATAGGCCAGGTGCAGTGGCTCATGCCCGTAACCCCAGCATTTTGGGAGGCCGAGGCGGTTTGATCACCTGAGGCCAGGGGTTCGAGATCAGCCTCGCCAACATGGTGAAATCCCGTCTCTACTAAAAATACAAAAATTAGCCGGGCGTGGTGGCGCATGCCTGTAATCCCAGTACTCAGCAGGCTGAGGCATGAAAATCGCTTGAACCCAGGGAGGCAGGGGTTGCACAGGGCTGAGATCACGCCACTGCAACCCAGTCTGTGTGACAGAGCAAGATTCCATCTCAAAAAAAAAAATAATAATAATAAATAAAAGCTCTCATAACCCAGCTCTTCTTGATTTTTATGGAAGCTTCATTCTATTGGCATGATTGATTAAATCATTGGCCACTGGTGATCAAGTTAACCTTCAGCCTCCTTTCCCTCCCCAGAGGCTGGGGGATGGGGCTGAAGAGTCCCAACCCTGTCATTATTGTCTTTCCTATGTCCAGCCCTCATACTGAGGCTGTCCATCACTTTGGAGATTTTGAGAATTTTAGGAGTTGCGTGCCAGAAAACCAGAACAAACACCAAATACCTATATTTAACAATATCACAAACAGCATACCTGGTCTGTACTCACAAGATGCCAGGGGCATTCCCCTCCAATCGTAACAAACAGAAATGTGTCTAGACATTGCCAAATGTCTCCTGAGGGGGCGATGGAGCTGGGGCAAAACTGTCCTTGGCATTGAGAAGCAGCAGGTTGTTACAAGGATTCAATGAGCAAGTTATTGTGCAGGTAGCACTTAGAACATGGTTGGCACATAGTAAATGCCATGTAAAGGTCTACAATTATTATTTTCATTATTGTTCTCTAGCCCTGCCTTACCTTGTGGAAAATAAATATTTTGATAATATGAGGGCTTAAGCAAAACGGTGTGTATGGTTAAGCCCATATGTGATTCTACTGGGGAACAAGTATCCAAGTCCCTATTCTGAGATCGAAGGTCAGCAATGTCAGTATTCATTATAGTCTGACTCTTCTGGGGTTCCATTGTAGGACTCACCATATCCCGTAGCAAACTAACAAGATCCCATGCTAATGGCCAGTTCAGCTGTCACTGGTCTGCACACATCCATTTTAAATCCCTTCCTGCATTCTCCAAATCATGCATAATTCAGATCTTTGGCTTTCCATAAATCTGTGGCCCTGAAACAACAGGCTGCCCACCAAACTCACCCCCAAAAAGAGGGTGAATAAAAACAAAAAAGGGAGAAAGAGGAAAAACAAAAGGCTGAGTTTCTTTAAATTTCTGGCTCTGCAGAGCCCAAGCATTTCCAATGAAAAATAAAGAATTCTTTCTTCTGTGTCTATTTCAGCTGGCAACCAGCTTTGCCTTGTGAATAATGTTACTGCATCATTATTCTATCCCACAAGGTAAAACAAAACGAGCAACTTAACAACCAGGAGTGTGCTCGTTTGGAGGGAATGGCTCATTTAAAAGTTCTTTAAATAATGTTGCTGTGTTCTCTACAATTTTGCAGCTCCCCACCCTCCACTTTTTTCAAAGCTATGGGAAAGTTGTTACTTTGCATACAAGGTATATAAATAATCCCTTCCTGGAAGCCCTCTCCCCCAAACACTTTTCATTTTTTAAAAAATAATGTTTTTTATTGCATTTACTCTTTTGGGATTCCTGGAGTGTCTACAAATAGATGAGCCTCTACGAATTCTGAGTAACTGTGGTTAGAAAAAAAAACATTGGTTTAATTAGCCATGGTCCTATTTTTGATATTACATCAGCTTTTTTTTTTTTTTTTAAATGAGGATTGGTCTATACAAAAACTTGAAGAGGATGAATTTGGGGGGATGCAAGTTAGTTCTGATTTGAATTAATTTTCATGCTTTTGAAAGTGAAATCAAGAGTATTTAGTGAATAATATACCATCATACATTAAGCAAGATCAAGGGAAGAGAAATGAAAAGGCATGATTGCAGAAATGTGAATTGCCAGGAATACTGGATCACGTGATATGTGCTTCTGTAGTGAGTGCAAGCAAATCACTCTTCACAGTTCTGCTCCACATAGCTCCATCAGTTTGTCATCCCCAAATCCCGAGACTTGATTAATCATTGAAGTGATGAAAATTAACAGGCTCAGCCGGGCATGGTGGCTCATGCCTGTAATCCCAGCATTTTGGGAGGCTGAGGTGCGTGGATCACCTGAGGTCAGGAGTTCGAGACCAGCCTGGCCAACATGGCAAAACCGTGTCTCTATTAGAAATAAAAAAATTGCCAGGCGCGGTGGCTCACGTCTGTAATCCCAGCACTTTGGGAGGCCGAGGCGGGCGGATCACGAGGTCAGGAGATCGAGACCATCCTGGCTAACACGGTGAAACCCCGTCTCTACTAAAAATACAAAAAATTAGCCAGGCCTGGTGGCAGGCACCTGCAGTCCTAGCTACTTGGGAGGCTGAGGCAGGAGAATGGCGTGAACCCAGGAGGCGGAGCTGGCAGTGAGCCGAGATTGCGCCACTGCACTCCAGCCTGGGTGACAGAGCGAGACTCTGTCTCAAAAAAAAAAAAAAAAAAAAAAAGGAAATAAAAAAATTGGCCAGGTGTGGTGGCGCACACCTGTAGTGCCAGCTACTTAGGAGGCTGAGGCAGAAGAATCGCTTGAACCCAGGAGGCGGAAGTTGCAGTGAGCTGAGATTGTGCCACTGCACTCTAGCCTGGGTGACAGAGCAAGACTCTGTCTCCAAAAAAAAAAAAAAAAAAAAAAAAGCTGGGCGCAGTGGCTCACACCTGTAATCCCAGCACTTTGGGAGGCCGGGGCGGGCA
Organism: Homo sapiens; assembly: GCF_000001405.40. Taxonomy (NCBI): domain Eukaryota; kingdom Metazoa; phylum Chordata; class Mammalia; order Primates; family Hominidae; genus Homo; species Homo sapiens. The sequence goes on along the minus strand of NC_000012.12, from coordinate 111,605,301 downwards.
GATCATGAGGTCAGGAGTTTGAGACCACCCTGGCCAACATGGCGAAACCCCACCTCTACTAAAAATACAAAAATTAGCCATGCACAGTGGCAGGCGCCTGTAATCCCAGCTACTCGGGAGGCTGAGGCAGAAGAATCACTTGAATTCAGGAGGTGGAGGTTTCAGTGAGCTGAGATCACACCACTGCACTCTAGCCTGGGCAACAGAGCAAGAATCTGTCTCAAAAAAAACAAAAAAGAAAAGAAAAGAAAAGAAAATTATTAACAGGCTAATAAAAGGGCCCTGTGGCTTGCTGAAGGGTCAATGAAAATCAGAAAGCAAGTATAGAATCTACTGGACTAGATTCTCAAGTCTGCAGGTCTGTCTCCAAGCTCTCTCACTTGAGATATTTTTTCATTTCTGAAATAGTGGCTGAAATGACCATAGCTATTTTTGAAGTTGAAATTTTAGCAACACTTCTCAATATCAGAACTCTTTCAGGAGAGTACTGTTCACTGCCTTTGCAGACAACTCTCTGACTCTCTGCTTTTGTTTAAAGGGGTGTCTGAAAATCATTTGGGGGAAAGGAGAGCATTCAAAATGTTCACTTGTTGGTTGGGTGGTGTGGTGGCTCACACCTGTAATCCCAGCACTTTGGGAGGCCAAGGCAGGCAGATCACTTGAGGTGAGGAGTTCTGGCCAACACGAAAAAATGTCGTCTCTACTAAAAATACAAAAATTAGCTGGACATGGTGGTGAGTGCCTATAATCCCAGCTACATGGAAGGCTGAGCGGGGAGGATCACTTGAACCCAGGAGGTGGAGGTTACAGTGAACTGAGATTGTGCCACTGCATTCCAGCCTGGGCAAGACAGCAAGACTCTGCCTAAAAACAAACAAACAAATCCCCCAAAACTAACAAAAATTAGCTGGGTGTGGTGGTGCACGCCTGTAGTCCCTGATACTCTGAAGGCTGAGATGGGAGGATTGCTCGGGACCGCCTGGGAGGCAGACGCTGCAGTGAGCCAGACTGTGGAACTGTACTCCAGCCTGGTTGGCAGAGTAAGACCCTGTCTCGAAAAAAAAAAAAAAAAGTATTGTTTTAAAATTCAGGTGGGGAGGATTTCACAGTGTCTGAACACCAGGAGGCAAGAATCATTTGGGACCGCCATAGAGGCTGCCTGACACACCACTTCTTTTAAGGTGCATTACTCTAATATATATATATATATATATTATTTTTTTGAGATGGAGTGTCACTCTGTCACCAGGCTGGAGTGCAGTGGCATGATCTTGACTCACTGCAACCTCTGCCTGCCAGGTTCAAGCGATTCTCCTGCCTCAGCCTCCCGAGTAGTTAGGACTACAGGCGCACACCACCATGCCCAGCTAATTTTTGTATTTTCTTTTTTTTGAGACAGAGTCTCGCTCTGTTGCCCAGGCTGGAGTGCAGTGGCGCCATCTCACCTCACTGCAAGCTCCGCCTCCCGAGTTCATGCCATTCTCCTGCCTCAGCCTCCCAAGTAGCTGGGACTACAGGCGCCCGCCACCACACCCACCTATTTTTTTGTATTTTTAGTAGAGACGGGGTTTCACTGTGTTAGCCAGGATGGCCTTGATCTCCTGACCTCGTGATCTGCCCGCCTTGGCCTCCCAAAGTGCTGGGATTACAGGTGTGAGCCACCATGCCTGGCTAATTTTTGTATTTTTAATAGAGACAGGGTTTCACCATGTTGGCAAGGATGGTCTCGATCTCTTGACCTCAGGTGATCAGCCCACCTCAGTCTCCCAAAGTGCTGGGATTACAGGCATGAGCCACCGTGCCCAGCCTACTCTGATATTTTCATATAAAGCTTAAGCCTTCTGAAGTCCAGAGAAAAGGTAGTTTCCATAAATAAATAAATAAAATAAAAATAACTAAATAAACTTACCACATCACCCAACAATTTCGTTTGTAGGAACCAACCCAAGATAAATGAAAACATATATCCACATGAAGATATATGTTCACAAATGTTCATAGCAGCATTATTATTTTTCTTTCTTCTTCTTTGTGTGTGTGTGTGTGTGTTTTAGCAACTCTATTAACTGAACGAGACAGGGTCTTGGTCTGTTGCCCAGGCTAGAGTGCAGTGGCGCATTCGTAGCTCACAGCAACCTCGATCTCCTGGGCTCAAGCGGTCCTTCTGCTTCAGCCTCCCTAGTAGCTGGGACTATAGGTGCGTGTCACCATGACCAGCTAATTTTTTTTTTTTTTTTTTTTTGGAGACAGAGTATTGCTGTGTCACCCAGGCTTCAGTGCAATGGTGCAATCTCGGCTCACTGTAACCTCCGCCTCCTGGGTTCAAGCAATTCTCCTGCCTCAGCCTCCCAAGTAGCTGAGATTACAGGTGCCCGCCACCACGCCTGGCTAATTTTTTGTATTTTTAGTAGAGACGGGATTTCACCATGTAGGCCAGGCTGGTCTCGAACTCCTGATCTCAGGTGATCCACCCACCTCGGCCTCCCAAAGTGCTGGGATTATAGGCATGAGCCACCACGCCCAGCCAACCAGCTAATTTTTTATTTTTAAAGTTTTTCATAGAGACAGGGTCTCTCTATGTTGCCCAGGCTGGTTTCAAACTCCGGGGTATTCAAGTGATCCTCCCATCTCGGTATCCTAAAGTGTTGGGATTACAGGAGTGAGCCACCAATCTCAGCCCCAGCAGCATTTTCATAATACTCAAAAAGTTGACACAATCTAAACATCCACAATTGGAAAGTAGACACAAAATGTGGTATGTCCATACATGGAATATGACATAGCAATAATAAGGAATGAAATACTGCTACATGCCACAACCTTAGATAAACCTCAAAAACATTATGACAAATGAAAGAAGGCAGACACAAAAGGCTGCATGCTGTAAGATTCTACTTATGTGAAAAATCTGGACAAATCCATAGAGAGAAAATGTAGATGAGTGGTTGCCTGGGGCTAAGGATGGGAACCAAACTGCCCACCATCGTGAAGGATCTTTTTGGGGTAATGGAAATGTTCTGAAATTAGTGGCAATGGTTGTGCAAATTTACTGTGTAAATTTACTGAGAATCATTAAATTGTACACAAAATAGGTGAATTTCATAGTATGTAAATTATATCTTGATAAAACTATTAAGTTTTTATTCAATGGTAGTGAGTTAAAACAAACTTTCTCAGCTATGTCAGCTTCAGGCCTTCTTTTTTTTTAATTTTGAAAAATTTTTTATGGAGAGGAGGGTCTCACTATGTTGCCCAGGCTGGTCTCCTACTCCTTGGTTCAAAGGATCTGCCTGCCTTGGCCTTCCAAAGTGCTGGGATTATAGGTGTAGGCCACTGTATCCAGCCTAGGCCTTCTTATTCAACTTCCATCGACCTGAAACTTACTATTTTTTTTTTGAGACGGAGTCTCGCTCTGTCGCCCAGGCTGGAGTGCAGTGGTGTGATCTCCGCTCACTGCAAGCACCGCCTCCCAGGTTCACACCATTCTCCTGCCTCAGCCTCCCAAGTAGCTGGGACTACAGGTGCGCATCACCACACCCAGCTAATTTTTGTATTTTTAGTAGAGATGGGCTCTACTAAAAATTGGCCAGGCTGGTCTCGAACTCCTGACCTCAGGTGATCCACCGGCCACTGCCTCCCAAAGTGCTGGGATTACAGGCGTGAGCCACCACACTGGCCAAAACTTGTTCTTAAGATTGTATTCTGGGACCTTGATTCCAATCAGAGAAAAGTGATTGTATTTTTTTATTTTTATTTTTTTTAGATAAAGTTTCGCTCTTGTTGCCCAGGCTGGAGTGCAGTGGTGCCCTCTTTGGTCACTGTAACCTCCGCCTCCTGGGTTCAAGCGATTCTCCTGCCTCAGCATCCTGCGTAGCTGAGATCACAGATGCCCACCACCACGCCCAGCTAATTTTTTCGTATTTTTAGTAGCGATGGGGTTTCACCATGTTGGCCACGCTGGTCTTGAACTCCTGACCTCAGGTGATCCATCCGCCTCGGCCTCCCAGAGTGCTGGGATTACAGGTGTGAGCCACCGCGCCAGGCCAAGTGTTTGTATTTCTATTAAAGAAAGAATATAACGGGACACCATTGACGACCTGCTCCATTGCAGGCCTCCTTGCTGTTCCTCAGACTCCCCCCTCAGAGCCTTTGCCCTCGCTGTGCCCTCCACCTGGAGCGTTTCTCCCCAGGATCCTCATGCCCATGCTCATTTGGGTCCCTGCCCCATGTCACCCTCTCCAGGAGCTTCCCCTCACAGCAGCCCTGGCCTGTACCACAGCCGGGTACAGGTATTTTTTTGTTTCAACTGGTTTTTTAGTTCCAGTTTCCTTTAGGTTACTTTATTTATTTATTTATTTATTTATTTTTTGAGACGGAGTCTCGCTCTGTCGCCCAGGCTGGAGTGCATGATCTCGGCTGACTGCAACCTCCACCTCCCGGATTCAAGCAATTCTCCTGTATCAGCCTCCCGAGTAGCTGGGATTACAGGCGCCCACCACCACACCCGGCTAATTTTTATATTTTTGGTAGAGACGGGGTTTCACCATGTTGGCTAGGCTAGGTTAATTTTTAAAGGGTTTTGCAATGGTCCCTTGATCTACTTTTTACCTTAGATGGGAAATAAAACTGATTTCCTACATTGGCAGAATACAATGATCATTTTTGCCTGGACTATCTAGGAGGTTAATTTCAGTTGGACTACTGAAAACTGCTGGTTCAATCATTCTCCACGTTTATCTAAGTCTTTACCTTTATCTGGACAGTTCTAGGACATTGAGGGGAATTTTGGTGTTTCTTCCCCTATTATTTCCTGAAGTCATTTCACTTTAAAAAACAATAGATTCACTGCTCAAAAAAAAAAAAAAAAGTTACCTACTTTCTACTTGCTTCCAGTTTAACTGCAACACATTTTAAAAAGAGTCTACTGTGCTGGCTGGGTAAGTTAAATTAAAACTTCTAAAGGGTCCAAGGTCTAAAGTTCGCACATTGTTTTGAGGTCGGCTCTGTCTCTACCGAGGGAGATCCCATTATCCGTAGTTCTACCAGTCCCAATCCCATATATTTCCTTTAGAATCTCATGAATGAGGAAAAAGAAGTTCAAGTGAGGGAACATAGGTTCAAATGAAGGTCAGATACCTAAAAGAGTTTTCTGGTGACTGTGCGCGGCTGGGGTGGAAAAAGTGGGGAAAAGGTACCCAGATGTGGGTGGCCCCGGAGGGTTGCTCCACTCCAGCCCCGGCAGGGCAGGACAGCGCGGCCTGCCTGGTAGATGCCCCGAGCCACTGGAGCGCCTACTGTGTGGCGGGCGGGGGACGGCAGGAAAACGGCAGGATGCTGTGTCCCCTGAATCTGGCAGGGTTCTAGGTGCTTTACACGTAGCAAGACACATTCTCCGCCCCAAGGCACTCGCAGTCAGTCCATTTTCTGGGTTGCATCAGGTGGGGGCAAACTAGGTCCCCGCAGAAGTGAAGATGCTGAAGGAATACAGTAGGAGAAGAAATGCTTCTCTCCTGTCCTCCACACCAGGCAGGCCCCAGAGGCTGAGACCGACACGCCCTCCCCGAAGGGCAGACCCGCCTTGAGGAAGGCGGATCCGGGTAGGGACCGCCGCCTGGCCCTCACCCGACCCCCGAGAAAGCAACCCAGCGCGCCGCCCGCTCCTCACGTGTCCCTCCCGGCCCCGGGGCCACCTCACGTTCTGCTTCCGTCTGACCCCTCCGACTTCCGGTAAAGAGTCCCTATCCGCACCTCCGCTCCCACCCGGCGCCTCGGCGCGCCCGCCCTCCGATGCGCTCAGCGGCCGCAGCTCCTCGGAGTCCCGCGGTGGCCACCGAGTCTCGCCGCTTCGCCGCAGCCAGGTGGCCCGGGTGGCGCTCGCTCCAGCGGCCGGCGCGGCGGAGCGGGCGGGGCGGCGGTGGCGCGGCCCCGGGACCGTATCCCTCCGCCGCCCCTCCCCCGCCCGGCCCCGGCCCCCCTCCCTCCCGGCAGAGCTCGCCTCCCTCCGCCTCAGACTGTTTTGGTAGCAACGGCAACGGCGGCGGCGCGTTTCGGCCCGGCTCCCGGCGGCTCCTTGGTCTCGGCGGGCCTCCCCGCCCCTTCGTCGTCCTCCTTCTCCCCCTCGCCAGCCCGGGCGCCCCTCCGGCCGCGCCAACCCGCGCCTCCCCGCTCGGCGCCCGCGCGTCCCCGCCGCGTTCCGGCGTCTCCTTGGCGCGCCCGGCTCCCGGCTGTCCCCGCCCGGCGTGCGAGCCGGTGTATGGGCCCCTCACCATGTCGCTGAAGCCCCAGCAGCAGCAGCAGCAGCAGCAGCAGCAGCAGCAGCAGCAACAGCAGCAGCAGCAGCAGCAGCAGCAGCCGCCGCCCGCGGCTGCCAATGTCCGCAAGCCCGGCGGCAGCGGCCTTCTAGCGTCGCCCGCCGCCGCGCCTTCGCCGTCCTCGTCCTCGGTCTCCTCGTCCTCGGCCACGGCTCCCTCCTCGGTGGTCGCGGCGACCTCCGGCGGCGGGAGGCCCGGCCTGGGCAGGTGGGTGTCGGCACCCCAGCCCCCTCCGCTCCGGGCCCGGCGTCCCCTCCCCCGCGGCCCGCGCCGCCGTCCCCGCCCCGTGACCCGCCGGGCTACCCGGGGTGGGCTGGGGGCCGGCAGCGCGGGGGAGACTCGCTCGGGCCTGAGCCCCGAGGCTCGGCCGGTGGGCGCAGCCGGGGTCCTCTGGGATTGTCAGGCCTGTCCAGCCTCCCGCAGCATCCCCGCCCCCTCCCCCGGCGGTCAAGATGGAGGGAGCGGGCGGCCTCCCCTCCCCACGCGTGTTGGGAGGGGTTCTCGGGTAGCGGCGATGGTCAGCCCCGGCTCCCCCTTCCGCACGATCCTCCGCCCGCAGCGTGGGGATGCTCGGGCAGCTCCTCCACTCCCGGTTTAGGTGTGAACGTTGGAGGGGTCTGGAGGCTGTGGTGGCGTTTTCCGGAACATGTCCCCCTCCATGGGGGACATCTCTGGAGGGGAGAAGTTAGGGCCGCGTCCCCCGTGCCGGTTAAAGGGGTAGGCACCGGGCTCCTCCGGAATCATCAGGGTCTGTCGGGGCTCTCTCCCCGCCCCCTCCGAGTCCTGGGAAAGATCGGAGGACGGGGTGGAGACAAGTGGGCCTTGGCCCCCGCACCCCTCTGCGTTCGTGTCCGAGGCGGCGGCGGGGGCTCCCGAACTCCCCTGAAATCGTGGGGCTCCATGTGGCCTCCGGCAGCGTTCCACCCTCCCCCACCTGGGGAAGGGAAGGGGTGGGGAGTGCCCGGCCCCGTCCCGGCCTTCCTCCTTCCCCCGCCAGACCTCTCCGGCGCGCGGGTGGTGGCCGATCCGCATTGCTGTTCGAGGCCGCAGTGGAGAAGGCGCCTGTGGAACATCGGTGGGTGAGGGCTGGACCCAGGCTGGACCCTGGAGATCCGGGGTGGCGGTGCTGGTGGCAGGGGGCGGGCACCCTGCGCACTTATCCCAACCCCCGCCCCAATTTCGGAAATGCTAGGAGAGAGAGATTGCAGCAGGGGACGTGGTCGGGTTCCTGAAGGCAGAAAGGCGGGTGTTTACTAGCGTCTTTTTCCCTCCTAAGCCGGGGTTGTAGTAGGGGCTGGGGGCTCAGTGTTGTCCCGGCTAACTGGGTTTGACTCGAGGGTGTGTTTGTGCAGGAGGGCCTGTTGGGGGTGGCGGGCGGTTGTCAGTTCGTATTTCACGAACTAAGAAAATGCTTAGTGTTCAAAGGGAGAAGGAAACGTCAATAGACTCCATTCCATTGTGGCCGGTGTCCTTAACTTCGGGAGTGCCGCCAGAGCTTACCAAGGGCACGCAAGTCCATTTCCCTTGTGCCTCAAGTCCATCCGTGTTGTAGGCACTACTGTGCCTTCTTTAGGCCTAGGCCGCCGGCTTGACGGCGGGTGACCGGCGTCCTCCTTAAATAGGCATCTTGGGCTTTGGAAGGTGGAATAAGAGGATTTTTCATTCACCCGAGTTTTCTTTTTGAAAACACATTTTCAGCAACCCATTTCCAAAGAATTTTTATTTACAGCAGAAATTCCCCATCAAGAGGAATCAGCTGGTTTTTAAGGAATTCTGCTGCCTTCAAAGGGGGCGGAAACAGTCGGTTATTTGACTTTACACGCCCCGCCCCCCCTTCCCCTTCTCTGAGTCTGAAGCATCCCAAACACTACTTAGCCAAACTAGTTCAGATGAAGTGATCGTTTCCCCAAGTAGGGTAACTTCAGTTTCCCTTTTTCGTTGGCATCTAGCGAAAAATGAAAAAATTTAAAATACAACTTTTATAGAAAAGGATGTATTCTGTTTTTACTTTCTTAGGTATTAGGAAGAGATTTGGCAGATAATTCAACATGTTCAAATATATAAACATTAAAACTAAGGTTATTAAGTTGCATTGACTACTAGGCTTAAAAATTAGATTATAAGAGAATTTGCTCCTGAGTAGTTTGAGTGATCAAAGATATTTGGAATGTTTTAGTACCACAAGGTCTTTTTTCTGTTCCTTGAGGCTTTACAACAATTTAAGGTTAATTTAGATTTTTCCTTGCTTTAAGTTCTTTTACTTGAGACCTAAATGGCAGCCCTTATTCTTTCTGATGAATAGGTGAAATTTTGTTTACTGTGTTGGATTTGTGTAATGTGAAGTTTTATTCTTGAACAGATCGTTAATGTACTTGTAGAATTACTTTGAATTTGAATCACTTTCCTGCATTCCTTGTAAATAAGTTTCAGCTTCTAGAATCTCCTCACTTAGGTTTGTGCGTATCAACAGTGAAAATAAGTCTCTGAGAGCAAGGGTGAAAAAAAATGCAGCATTCGGTTTGACAAGTTTCGAGATAGCAAAATATGCTTGAAAGTCTGGAAATTCACATCTGCTTTAAGAAACATTTCATAATTTGACTTTGTGTGTGTGTGTGTGAATAGTTTTTCATGACTTTCAGAAGTGATTTATTTTGTTCTTTGTTATATATATTTTTGAAGGTGGCTGTTTTAGGAAAGATAATGTAATCACAATATTAGAACATAATTTTACTGTAATCTAATTTTGTGTGTGTGTGTGTGTGTGTGTGTGTGTGTGTGTGTGTGTTTTGGATGGAATCTCACTCTGTCGCCCAGGCTGGAGTGCAGTGGCCTGATCTCAGCTTACTGCAGTCTCTGTCTCCTGGGTTCATTTAAGTGATTCTCCAGCCTCAGCCTCCCCAGTAGCTGGGATTACAGGTTCGTGCTACCACACCTGGCTAATTTTTTTGTATTTTTAGTGAGGACGGGATTTTGCCATGTTGGCCAGGCTGGTCTCGAACTCCTGACCTCAAGTGATCCGCCTGCCTTGGCCTCCCAAAGTGCTGGGATTACAGGCGTGAGCTACTGCCCCTGGCCAATTTTTGTATTTTTAGTAGAGATGGGGTTTCACCATGTTGGCCAGGCTGGTCTCGAACTCCTCCTGACCTCAAGTGATTCGCCAGCCTCGGCCTCCCAAAGTGCCAGGATTACAGGCAGGAATGAGCCACTGCCCCCAACCATCAGTCTAATTCTTATTTTTGCTTTTTACCTTTTCATTTTTATGTAGTAGAGGTGATTGTGTATGTTATTTTGTAGTTAGCTTTTTTCCCCTGAACGTTGTATTGTAAATGTAAATTTTTTTTTTTTTTTTTGAGACAGAGTCTCGGTGTTTGCCCAGTCTGAAGTGCAGTGGTACGATCTCAGCTCACTGCAGCCTCTGACTCCTGGGTTCAAGCGATTCTCCCACCTCAGCCTCTTGAGTAGCTGGGGCTACAGGAATGTTCCACCACGCTTGGCTAATTTTTGTATTTTTGGTAGAGACAAGGTTTCACCATGTTGGCCAGTTTGGTCTCGTACTACCGACCTCAGGTGATGCGCCCGCCTCGGCCTCCCAAAGTGCTGGGATTGCAGGCGTGAGCCACTGCGCCCGGCTGTAAGGTTTTTACTTAACCATTCTATTGTTGGGAATTGGGTTTCCACTTTTTTGTTATAGATAGTGGTGCAGTGAACATTTTTAAATAGCTTTTTGCTTCAGTGTAATTATTTCCTTAGAGAAAGTTACCAAGAGTGGTTTTACTAGTTCAGAGGGCTTCAGGATTTTTATGGCTCTTGCTAGCGGTGCTCTATTATTCTTTAGAAGACTTGTATTACTTCCAGTGTCAAGAAGGTTGCTCTTCCATGGAATGGTTTCTTTGTAGTTTGTCAAATATTGTGGGGAATTTTTAAAGGAAAAATTGCATTTTTACTGTCAAGTGCATATATTATTAAGTGCTTTTGTTAGTTACTGGATTATTGATATTTGAGTTTAATTTGGTTCCTCTGAGGATTTAATAAGGTAATATATGTGAAGATGTTTTGAAACCTGTAACCATTATTATTAATGAGGGTACTTGGTTTATCTGTCGTGCTGATAGTACTGAGTAAAGTGCAGGAATGAAATTCCTGAGGAACTGTTCTAAAGCTTTGTTGTTGTTGTTAACCTTTCTTTTTCATCTGAAAGTGTTTTTTATTAGCTGCTAGCCTATGACCAAGTTATTTTTGGTAACTTTTTTGTAATTTCATGGCACTATTGGGAATTTTCGCTGGTTGACTCTTCTTCTTCTACATTCCCTTCCCCATTAAAAATAAAAATATGGATTTACAATTGTTACTCTATTCCTAAACCTAAATAATATGACATTAGAATTGCTTGGGATACAGGATTCAGTCTGAATAAAATATTTTTCTTTTAGTGATTTTCAGCTTAGTATTTTTACTGCTTCTTTCTCTTGAGGCATTGCAACTTAAAAATTGTGCTGTTTAGCCAGGCGCCTGTAATCCCAGCTACTTGGGAGGCTGAGGCAGGAGCATCACTTGAGCCCAGGAGGCGGAGGTTGCAGTCAGCTGAGATTGTGCCACTGCACTCCAGCCTGGGAGACAGAGTGAGACTCTATCTCAAAAAAAAAAAAAATGTGCTGTGATTTAATGTAGTTGTTCATCATGCTTCCATTTAAATTTCAGTGAGACTGTTCATCTTTTGCAGTTAAATATCTTGTAGAAGGGCCTAAAATATCTACGTTGAATACAGCTTTATTGAAGCATCTATGTACATGGGGTTTTTGGGATGAATCAGTGAATAAAGCAAACATATTGTCCTTTTGGAGTTTACATTCTAATGTGACTAGGCAGACAATGAGACATTAAATTACCAGCCTATGTATAATAGTGTATAAGAGCTATGGAATTAGAAGAAAGCAGATTAAAGGTATAGGGAGTGTGGGGAGGGGAATGAGTTACAATTTTAAATGGATTGGGGGAACTTAATTGAGGAGCTAACATTTGAGCAAAGATTTGAAGGTTGGGTATTTAGCCGTTTGCTTTTTATCTAGGTTAATTAGTCATGTGGCTTCATTAGTAATTTATAAGGTTTAAATGGCATCATCCTTTGTTATTCTTTTATGTGCACATTGATACTAACCATCTCTGAAGTTAGACCAAAAAAGTTAATTGACATTGAGGGTCATTAGAGGTAAATTGTAGATGGCTATTACTAACCAAAGAGACATGTTTTGTTTTTCTTTTGGGCTTACGTATTTTACCTAATTAGTTTAGTTTTTGTTTCAAGTATGTGGAGAAAATAAACTTTTTAAGTTTGGGCCAAAACTTGCTTTGGTTTTCTTTTTCTTTTTCTTTTTTTTTTTTTAAGAGAAAAATGTAAGCCTGTAGTTGCTTAAAGATTCCACATTCTGAAACAGTGAAAACATGGGATCAGTCATGGTGTTCCTTTTTTTGGTTAAATGTAAACTTGTATTTTCAGTGTTACTCTAATTAGCAATGGTTTATACTTCTACATAAGGGATGTTAACTCATATTGTAGCTATTTAATAGCCATATATTTTGACTTAAAGGAGGATCTCAAGGCCAGGCGCGGTGGCTCATACCTGTAATCCCAGCACTTTAGGAGGCTGAGGCGGGTGGATCACCTGGGGTCAGGAGTTTGAGACTAGTCTGGCCAACATGGTGAAACCCCCATCTCTACTAAAAATACAAAAATTAGCCGGGCATGGTGGTGGGCGCCTGTAATCCCAGCTTCTTGGGAGGCTGAGGGAAGAGAATTGCTTGATCCCGGAGGTTGCAATGAGTGCGGAGGTTGCAGTGAGCTGAGATCATGCCATTACACTCCAGCCTGGGCAACAGAGCGAGACTCTGTCTCAAAACAAACAAACAAACAAAAAAAGGAGGATCTCATTTTTTTGTCCTAAATAGCTACAGCCGTGTTAGAACTGTCACCTTAGCAAAGTATTGTTTTTTTACTTTGAAACGAATTTTAAGGTTTTAGAAGATTGTTCTCTAGAATTACAATTTTCTGTTTTGACTAGTGATAGTATTTTGATGTTGTGTAAATAGTTGAGCATGAACAAAACCCTATTTTTTTTTTTAGCTATTTCAAGTGATTGTGACAACTTCAACGGAGATGTAAACAGTTTATTAACAGTCACACCTATTATCTTTTTTTTTTTTTTTTTTTTTTGAGACGGAGTCTTGCTCTGTCGCCCAGGCTGGAGTGCAGTGGCACGATCTCTGCTTACTGCAACCTTTGCCTCCCGGGTTCAAGTGATTCTCCTGCCTCAGCCTCCTGAGTAGCTGGGTCTACATGCGCACACCACCACGCCTGGCTAATTTTTGTATTTTTAGTAGAGACAGGGTTTCACCATGTTGGCTAGAATGGTCTCAAACTCCTGACCTCAGGTGATCCACCTGCCTCAGCCTCCCAAAGTTCTGGGATTACAGGCATGAGCCACCGTGCTTGGCCGCTGCCGTATCTTTTTAAATGAAAGTACTTGTGTTTTTTTTGTTTTTTTCCAAAGGATATCTGGGTCATCTATGATGTTACTGTTACCATCTAAGGGTTTTTTTGTTTGTTTTTGAGACAGAGTCTCTGTCGCCCAGGCTGGAGTGCAGTGGCGTGATCTTGGCTCACTGCAACCTCCGCCTCCCAGGTTCAAGCAATTCTCCTGCCTTAGCCCTCCCGAATAGCTGGGATTACAGGCACCCGCCACCATGCCTGGCTAAGTTTTGCATTTTTAGTAGATATGGAGTTTCACCATGTTGGCCAGGCTGCTCTTGAACTCCTGACCTCAGGTGATTCGCTTGCCTCGGCCTCCCAAAGTGCTGGGATTACAGGCGTGAGCCACCCCCGCCCAGCCTCATGAGCTAAGGTGTTTTTTTTTTTTTTGAGACAGTTTTGCTCTTTCCCAGGCTGGAGTGCAGTGGTGCAATCTCAGCTCACTGCAACCTCTGTTTCCCGGGTTCAAGCGATTCTCCTGCCTCAGCCTTCTGAGTAGCTGAGATTACAGGTGCCTGCTACCCCACTCAGCTAATTTTTGTATTTTTAGCAGAGACAGGGTTTCACCATGTTGGTTAGGCTCATCTCGAACTCCTGACCTTAAGCGATCCACCTGCCTTGGCCTCCCAAAGTGCTGGGATTATAGGCATGAGCCACCGTGCGCAGCCTACCCTGTCTCTTAAAAAACAGTAACAACAACAACAACAACAAAAAATCCTAAATCTTAAAAATGGAAGGCAAAAACTCTAAGCTTTGAGAGATTAGGGGACTTGCCCAAAGCAATATTTGTAGGATTTTATTACACCTCTCCCTTTATTTATTTTTTTAGAGTCAAGGTCTCCCTCTGTCACCCAGGCTGGAGTGCAGCCTCAATCTATGGGGCCAAGCATTTCTCCTGTCTTAGCCTCCTGAGTAGCTGGAACTACAGGTGTACACCAGCTGGCTAACATTTAAATTTTTTGTAGAGACAGGGTCCTGCCATGTTGCCCAGATTGGTCTCAAACTCCTGGGCTCAAGTGATCCTCCTGCCTCAGCTTCCCAAAGTGCTGAGATTACAGGTGTGAGCCACTGCACCGAGCCCCCTCCCTTTATTTTTATTTTTAAATTTTAAGTTCTGGGGCCCCTCCCTTGAAATAAATAGAAACGTAATATATACACAAGATCATGCTGTGTATTTTAAGGCAATGGTCCTCAACCTTTTTAACACTAGGGACCGGTTTTGTGGAAGATGGTTTTTCCATAGGGGCAGGGGATGATTTTGAGATGAAACTGTTCCACCGGCCGGGCACGGTGGCTCACGCCTGTAATCCCAGCACTTTGGGAGGCCGAGGCGGGCAGATCACGAGGTCAGGAGATCGAGACCATCCTGGCTAACATGGTGAAACCCCCCTCTACTAAAAATACAAAAAAATTAGCTGGGCGCGGTGGAGGGCGCCTGTAGTCACAGCTACTCCGGAGGCCGAGGCAAGAGAATGGCATGAAACCCGGGAGGCAGAGCTTGCAGTGAGCTGAGATAGCACCACTGTACTTCAGCCTGGGGGACAAAGTGAGACTCCGTCTAAAAAAAAAAAAATTGTTCCACCTCAGATCATTATGCATTTGTTAGATTCTCATAAAGAGCATACAACCTACATCTCTTGCTATATGCAGTTCCCAGTAGGGTTTGTGCTTCTATAAGAACCTAATGCTGCACCTGATCTAACAGGTGGGGCTCAGGTGCTAATGCTCACACAGCTCCTGTTGTGCAGTCTGGTTCCTAACAGGCCTGTTTTTTTTTTTTTAATTAGATGGAGTCTCGCTCTGTCACCAGGCTGGAGTGCAGTGGCACGATCTCAGCTCACTGCAACCTCTGCCTCCCGGGTTCAAGCGATTCTCCTGCCTTAGCCTCCCATGTAGTTGGTACTACAGGCGCACACTGTGATGCCCAGCTAATTTTTGTATTTTTAGTAGAGACGGGGTTTCACCATGTTGGCCAGGATGGTGTCGATCTCCTGACCTTGTGATCCGCCCAACAGCCTCCCAAAGTGCTGGAATTACAGGCGTGAGCTGCTGCGTCCGGCCCCCTAACAGGCTTGTTTTATGGAATACAGTCACGGACAGTACTTGCCCTTCAGGATATCTTTTTGTAACCTTGATTTTGGCTTGCTAAAATAGGAGGTCTATTTTCTTTTCTTTGTTTTTAATGTATGTGGTTCTGTACTTACGTGGTGTGAAATCTACATAAATGTTAAATCCTTGGTTATTTATTTATTTTGAGACAGAGTCTCACTCTGTCACCCAGTCTGGAAAGCAGTGGCATAATCTCGGCTCACTGTAACCTCCACTTCCCAGGTTCCAGTGATTCTCCTGCCTCAGCCTCCTGAGTAGCTGGGATTACAGGCATGCACCACTACACCTGGCAAATTTTTGTATTTTTTTTTAGTAGAGATGGGGTTTCACCATGTTGGCCAGGCTCGTCTTGAACTCCTGACCTTAGGTGATCTGCCTGTCTTGGCCTCCCAAAGTTTTGGGATTACAGCATGAGCCACTGCGCCTCGCCTTATTTTTTTGAGACAGGTTCTAGCTCTGTCACCCAGGCGGGAGTGCAGTGGTGCCATCATGGCTCATTGCAACCTCGAGTTCTCAGGCCCAAGTGATCCTCCTATCTCAGCCTCCTGAGTAGCTGGGACCACAGGCATGCGCCACTATGCCCAGCAAAATTTTTGTTTCACTCTGTTGCCTAGGGTGGGGTGCAGTGGCAGGATATCGGCTCAGTGCAACCTCTGCCTCTTGCGTTCAAATGATTCTCATGCCTCAGCCTCCCGAGTAGCTGGGATTATAGGCATGCGCCACTACACCTGGCTAATTTTTGTATTATTGGTAGAGATGGGGTTTTATCATGTTGGCCAGGCTGGTCTCGAACTCCCGACCTCAGGTGATCCATATACCTTGGCCTCCTGAAGTGCTGGAATTACAGGCATAAGCCACTGCGCCTAGCTTTTTTGTTTGTTTTTATTTTGTAGGGACAGAGATTTTACCTGTTGCCCAGGATGGCCTTGAATTCCTGACCTCAAACAATTTGCCCTCCTTGGCCTCCCAAGGTGCTGGGATTACAGGTGTGAGCCACTATGCCTGGCTGGTTTTTTAAATTATTATTATTGTTTGTGTGTGTGTGTTGCAGGATCTTACCCTGTCACCCAGGCTGGAATGCAGTGATGTGATCTCGGCTTACTGCAACCTCCGCCTCCTAGGTTCAAGTGATTGTCCTGCCTCAGCCTCCTGAGTAGCTGGGATAACAGCTGTGTGCCACCATGCCTGGCTAATTTTTGTATTTTTAGTAGAGATGGGGTTTCATCATGTTGGCCAGGCTGGTCTCGAACTCCTGACCTTAGATGATCCACCCGCCTCGTCCTCCCAAAGTGCTGGGATTACAGGTGTGAGCCACCGTGACCAGTTTGGTTTAGTTTTTTTTTTTTTTTTTTTTTTTTTTTTTTTTTGAGAAATCTCGCTCTGTCGCCCAGGCTAGAGTGCGGTGACACAATCTCAGCTCACTGCAAGCTCCACCTCCCAGGTTCATGCCATTCTCCTGCCTCAGCCTCCCGAGTAGCTGGGACTACATGCGCCCGCCACCATGCCCGGCTAATTTTTTTTATGCATTTTAAGTAGAGATGGGGTTTCACTGTGTTAGCCAGGATTGTCTCAATCTCCCGACCTCTTGATCTGCCCGCCTCGGCTTCCCAAAGTGCTGGGATTATAGGCATGAGCCACCGCGTCCGGCCTGGTTTGGTATTTTTTTTATGAGTCTGGGTTGTTTATGAAAACTTGTCACAGCTGTTAACCTTAACTTTTTTTTTTTCTTTTTTTTCCGAGACGGAGTCTCGCTCTGTCACCTAGGCTGGAGTGCAGTGGTGCGATCTCGGCTCATTGCAACCTCTGCCTCCCAGGTTAAAGCGATTTTTCTGCCTCAGCCTCCTGAGTAGCTGGGACTGCAGGCACGCACCATCTCGCCTGGCTAATTTTTGTATTTTAGTAGAGATGGGGTTTCACCATATTGGCCAGGCTGGTCTGGAACTTCTGGCCTCAAGTGATCCACCTGCCTTGGCCTCCCATGCCTGGCAACCTTAACTTTTTATTTGCTGGTAATTATTTGTGTTTGCATTCATGTGAAAATTTGAAATTCTCATTAACATTTAAAGATTCTTACATAGATTGCTTGTAATTTTAACCCTGAAGTTGTGTCAAGTGACTTTACAATGTCAATTTGTTTTATTTATTTATTTATTTATTTATTTATTTATTTTTGTGATAGGATCTGGCTCTGTTGCTAAGGCTGGAGTGCAGTGTTGCAAATACGGCTCACTGCAACCTCTGTCTCCCGGGTTCAAGCCATCCTCCCACCTCAGCCTCCCAAGTAGTTGGAACTACTGGTGCGCCCCACAGTGCCTGCCTAGTTTTTTTGTATTTTCAGTAGATGTGGAGTTTTGCCATGTTGATCTTGAACTCATGGCCTCGAGTGATCCACCCCACTTAGGCCTCCTAACATGCTGGTGTTACAGGTGTGAGCCACTGTGTCCAGCCCGAAAATGTCAGTTTCGTGCCATGATTAATAGCTAACTACATTTTGGGAATGTAATAAAATTTCATTCTATAATGAAGTCTTTGTAAAACTCATTAGTTGTGGTATGAGGCTTGTCGGCAATATAAGTGAACGTGGTTTATTTTTATTAACTGTATCAGAACTTTAGAATGTTGGTCTCCTGAAACCATTGCCTTGAGAGGCTTTATTGAACAGTGTTGCCAATGATCAGTTTTTTTTTAAATTTCCTTTTTTTTGAGACTGAGTCTTACCCTGTTGGCCAGGTTGGAGTATAGTGGTATGGTCATGGCTCACTGCAGCCTCAACATCCTGGGCTCAAGCAGTCCTCCTACCTCAGTCTCCCGAGTAGCTGGAACTACAGGTGTATGCCACCATGCCTGGCTTTTGTATATTTTGTAGAGACAGGGTTTAGCCATGTTGCCCAGGCTGGTCTCAAACTCTTAAATTCAAATGATCCACCCACCTAGTTTTCCCAAAGTGCTTTAATTACATGTGTGAGGCACCGTGGCTGGCCAGGTCAAATATTTTTCATTGACGTTTTTCATATTGCTTTTTAAAGTCATGTTAAAATATTCTTAATAATTTTTCTAAGTGGAATTAATCTTGATTATAATTTTAGTTTTTTATAAAGGGCGGGTTTTGAAACAAGTACTGCATTTTTCTTTTCGGGTTTATAAACATTTGCTGTGGACTTTGTGCAGTTAACTATTTTCATTCCTGAAACACATTTCGAAATCAGGAATTGAAGACTAAATGTCTTTTCACTGAAGCTTGAGCAGATTTTAGAAAGGGGAGTTCTTTTTTTTTTTTTTTTTTTTGGTAGAAATGGGGGTCTTGTTATGTTGCCCAGGCTGGCCTCCAACTTCTGGGCTTAAACTGTCCTCCTGCTTTAGCCTCTGGTCTGGAGAGTTCTTTATGGCCTCTTTGAGAACTTTTACTTTACACATGATTCTATCTAGCTTTCTTTTCTGATGTACATATTGGCAGCAAGTAGAAAAGCAATGTTTTCAGAGGCAGATATATTAACAGCAATGAGAAATAACAGTAGCGTGATAGAAAGTTGAAAGACTTAGCTGGGTGCGGTGGCTCACGCTTGTAATCCCAGCACTTTGGGAGGCCAAGGAGGGTGGATCACTTGAGGTCAGGAGTTCGAGACCAGTCTGGCCAACATGGTGAAACCCTGTCTCTACTGAAAAACAGAAAAAGGGCCGGGCGTGGTGGCTCACCCCTGTAATCCCAGCACTTTGGGAGGTTGAGGAGGGCGGATTACAAGGTCAAGAGATTGAGACCATTCTGGCCAACAGGGTGAAACCCCATCTCTACTAAAAATACAAAAAAATTAAATGGGCGTGGTGATGTGTGCCTGTAGTCCCAGCTACTCGGGAGGCTGAGGCAGGAGAATTGCTTGAACCCGGGAGGCAGAGGTTGCAGTGAGCCGAGATCGGGCCACTGCACTGACGACAGAGGGAGACTCCGTCTAAAAAAAAAAAAAAAAAAAAAAAACCAGACTTGGGGCTGGGCGGGCGCCTGTAATCCCAGCTACTTGGGAGGCTGAGGCAGGAGAATCGCTTGAACCCGGGAGGTGAAGGTTGCAGTGAGCTCAGATTGTGCCACTGTGCCCCAGCCTGGGCCACAGAGCAGAGTGAGACTCTGTCTCAAAAAAAAAAAAAAAGTTTGGAAGACTGGTGGCTGGGCATGGTGGCTCACACCTGTAATCCCAACACTTTGGGAGGCTGAAGCAGGCAGATTACCTGAGCCCAGGAGTTCAAGTCCAGCCTGGGCAACACAGGGAAACCCCATCTCAACAAAAAATATTAATACAAAAAATTTAGCCAGTCATGGTCGTGCACTTCTGTAGTCTCAGCTACTTGGGAGGCTGAGGCAGGTGGTTCACTTAAGTCTGGATGTCGAGGTGAGCCATGATTGCACCACTGCACTCCAGCCTGGGCGTTAAAATGAGACCTTATCTCAAAAAAACAAAGCAAAGAGCCTGGGAACTACTAAAATGGGAACTACTAAAAAACAGACACAAGAGCTCAACAAGTATACCATTCTGGGAGGTTTTTTTTTTTTTTTTTTTTTTTTTTTTTGAGATGGAGTTTTGCTCTTGTCACCCAGGCTGGAGTGCAATGGCGCCATCTCTGCTCACTGTAGTTCCGCCTCCCAGGTTCAAGCAGTTCTCCTGCCTGACTCCTGAGTAGCTGGGAGTACAGATATTGGTCACACACCGGGTTAATTTTTGTATTTTTAGTAGAGACGGGGTTTCCCCATTTTGGCCAGGCTGGTCTCGAACTCCTGACCTCAGGTGATCCGCCTGCTTCAGCCTCCCAAAGTGCCGGGACCACAGGCGTGAGCCACCGCACCTGGCTTTTTTTTTTTGACATAGAATCTTGTTCTGTTGCCCAGGCTGGAGTGCAATGGTACAATCTTGGCCCACTGCAACCTCTGCCTCCCAGCTTCTAGCGATTTTCCTGCCTCTGACTCCTGAGTAGCTGGGATTACGGGTGCCCGCCACCACACCCGGATAATTTTTGTATTTTTAGTAGAGATGGGGTTTTGCCATATTGGCCAGGCCGGTCTTGAACTCCTGACCTCAGATGATCCACCTGCCTAGGCCTCCCAAAGTGCCGGGATTACAGGCGTGAGCCACCACTCCCGGCCTGGGAGTTTTGACTGTAAGTTTATAGCTGTATATCTTAGGCCCTAAGGGCATTACTGTTTTATAGCACAGTGTAGTTAGTTAATGTGCTCATAATGGTGACTCATAACACCAGGTTAAATGATTTTTTATATCTCCCAAAGAAGTATTTTTCAATCTGCAGATCATGACCCCTTAGTAGATTGTGAAACACATTAGTGGATTATGACAAGCATTTTTAGAAAAATGAAAAAGAATAAGAAGTGTTAGGATGCATTGCATTATTGAAATAATTGTTTTTGAGATGGAGTTTCGCTCTTAGTTGCCGAGGCTGGAGTGCAATGGCCCGATCTGCCTCCCGGGTTCAAGTGATTCTCCTACCTCAGCCTCCTGAGTAGCTGGGATTACAGACATGCTCCACCATGCCTGGCTAATTTTGTATTTAGTTTTAGTAGAGATGGGGTTTCTCCATGTTGGTCAGGCTGGTCTTGAACTCCTGACCTCAGGTGATCCACTTGCCTCGGCCTCCCAAAGTGCTGGGGATACAGGCATGAACCCCTGTGCCCGGCCTAATTTTTGTATTTTTAGTAGAGATGGGGTTTCACCATGTTGGCCAGGATAGTCTTGATCTCTTGACCTCGTAATCTGCCCACCTCGACTCCCAAAGTGCTGGGATTACAGGTGTGAGCCACTGCACCCAGCTGCCAAGAATTGTTTTAAGCTTTGGTTTGAGTTAATGTATATATACCGCATTGTAATTCAAAATGTAATTTTTGGCCAACTCTGGGCACATTGCCTATGGACTAGTCCTGCTCTGCCACGAGCAGCAACAGTTCAATGAATTTTTTTTTTTTTTTTTTTTTTTTTTTTTTTTTTGAGACAGGGTCTCTGTCACCAAGGCTAGAATGTAGTGGTGCAGTCTCGGCTCACTGCAACCTCTGTTTCCTGGGCTCAAGCGATCCTCCCACCTCAGCCTCCTGAGTAGCTGGGAGTACAGGAGCACGCTACCATGCCTGGCTAATTTTTGTATTTTTTGAAGAGATGAGGTTTTGCCATGTTGTTCAGGCTAGTCTTGAACTCTGGAGCTCAGATGATCCACCCACCTTGGTGTCCAGAAATGCTGGGATTACAGGGATGAGCCACCGTGCCTAGCCAAAAATTTTTTTTTAAGTAATTTTTTATTGATATAGTCAAAAAAGTTACTGCTTTAGAGCCAGAGAAACGCAGTAAAAGGATTGAGAAAGAGTTTTGAGGTTATATCTAAGCTAGGGTTGTCAGATTTGGCAAATAGAAATACAGGACACTCAGTTAAATTTGAATTTTTGATGAACATTGACCAGTTTTTTAGTATAATTGTGTATTAAATTGCATAGAAAAAAGTTATTTATCTAAAGTTGAAATTTAACTGAGCATCTTGTATTTTATCTGGCAACTCCAGTCTAAGCTGGAATCATGGTTCACTGTTTTTTTTTTTTTTTTTTTTTTTTGAGTCGGAGTCTTGCTGTGTTGCCCAGGCTGGAGTGCAATGGTGCGATCTTGGCTCACTGCAACCTCCACCTCCTGTGTTCAAGTGATTCTCCTGCCTCAGCCTCCTGAATAGTTGGGATTACAGGCACCCACCACCATGCCCAGCTAATTTTTATATTTTTAGTAGAGACGGGGTTTTCGCCATGTTGTTCAGGCTGGTCTTGAACTCCTGACCTCAGGTGGTCCGCCCACCTGGGCCTCCCAACGTGCTGGGATTACAGGCATGATCTACCGTGCCTGGCCATGGTTCACTCTTCAGTAACTAAAATTTAAGCTCTATGAAAGCAGGAACTTTGTTTTGTTCACTATTGATTGTATCCCTATTTCTTGAATGGTTGGCACTTAACTGCTTGGTCACATGTTTGAATGGGCAAGTTACTCAGCCACTCTCAGGCTTAGTTTATTTACCTATTAAAAGAGAAAGAATATCTTCCTTGGCTGGGCGCGGTGGCTCACGCCTATAATCCCAGCACTTTGGGAGGCTGAGGCGGGTGGATCACGAGGTCAGGAGATCGAGACCAACCTGGGCAACATTGTGAAACCTCATCTCTACTAAAATAGAAAAAATTAGCTGGGCATGGTGGTGCGCATCTGTAGTCCCAGCTACTCGAGAGGCTGAGGCAGGGGAATCGCTTGAACCCAGGAGGTGGAGGTTGCAGTGAGCCAAGATTGTGCCACTGCACTCCAGCCTGGGCGACAGAACGAGACTCTGTCTCCAAAAAAAAAAAAAAAACAAACAAAAAAAAAAACTGAGATACTGGCCGGGCGCGGTGGCTCGTGCCTGTAATCCCAGCACTTTGGAAGGCCGAGGCGGGTGGATCACGAGGTCAGGAGATCGAGACCGTCCTGCCTAACATGGGGAAACCCTGTCTCTACTAAAAATACAAAAAATTAGCCAGGCGTGGTGGCGGGCGCCTGTAATCCCAGCTACTTGGGAGGCTGAGGCAGGAGAATGGCGTGAACCCGGGAGGCAGAGCTTGCAGTGAGCGGAGATGGTGCCACTGCACTCCAGCCTGCTGGGCGACAGAGCGAGACTCCGTCTCAAACAAACAAACAAACAAACAAAAAAACTGAGATACTAAAGTCTTAATATTTTCTGTTTTTATGTATTTATTTTTTGAGATGGGATCTTGCTGTATTGCCCAGGTTGGAGTACAGTATTGTGATCATGGCTTATTGCAGCCTTTAACTCCTGGGTTCAAGTGATCCTCCCACCTCAGCCTCCTGAGTAGCTGGGACCACAGGCACATGCAACATCACACCCTGCAGTTCTTTTTTTTTTTTTGAGACACCGTCTCGCTTTGTCACCCAGGCTGCAGTGCGTGGTGCAATTTCTGCTCACTCTAACCTCCACCTCCCGAGTTCAAGCAGTTCTGCCTCAGCCTCCTGAGTAGCTTGGGACCACATGTGTGTGCCATCATGCCTGGTTAATTTTTTGTATTTTTAGTAGTGACAGGGTCTTACCATGTTGCCCAGGTTGGTCTCAAACTCCTGAGCTCAAGTGATCTGCCCGCCTTCGCCTCCCAAAGTGTCTGCGCCCTACAATTTAAAAAAATTTTTGTAGAGACAGTCTCACTGTTACCCGGGCTGGTTTTGAACTTCTGCCCTCAAGTACTCCTCTTGCCTTGGCCTCCCAAAGTATTGAAATTAAGGCCATGAGGCAGCACACCCAGCCTAAATTCTTCTTATGTTCTGTTCTTGGCACATAGTAGATGTTCAACAATGTAGAGTCAAACGCATTTGGAGTTGGAATGGCTCTGGTGTTTTTTTTTTTTTTTTAAACCAGAAACACGTGCAGTTTATTGAATGCCATTGTAGAAAAGTGTGTGAGGATAAACGGCTGATAGAGAACTTGGCTCTGGGGGCAGGGCGAGGAATGGAGGGTGGATGGAGTACATGGGAATCAGATCACGGGCAGAGCTCCTGGCCTAGATAATGCCTCCTGATCTGTTGATAGACTTGAAAGATCAACACTGGGATGATGCTGAGCAGAATGGTCGTAATGATGCGCACAATCAGGGCCCAGATGTTCAGGCACTTGGCGGTAAAGGCATAGGCCTGGGCCCTGATCAGGTCGCCAACCATCTTCTTGTCCCTAGACTTCACGGAGTAGGCCAATGCTATGAAGCCCAGGCAGCAGGAGTTCATGAAGTGGGTGTTGAACAGGGACCAGACGACATGGTCGGGCACGGAGTTCTCGCTGTGGATGGGGATCACGGTGGACATTGGGGGAGCAGGGTTGTGGGGTGCCCCCAGCACAGCCACCTCTTGCTCCTCCTTGAGCATCTCATAGTTAGGGGGATGGCCGATGTTGGCAGGAGTGAAGAGGTTTGGACATTGTGGTTCATGGTGTCCAGGGAAGACCAGCTGTGGTCGGGTTGCTGGGGTGGTTCTCAGTGGGCCCCTCCCTTTCCCTGGTAGTTTGGATTTCTCTGGCTCTGGTGGTTTTTTAGTACTCATTCTATTTACGGGTGAAGAAATTGAGACCAAGAGGGTTATTTACCAGAGTATCTCATCATTGGCTGCATAACTGGCATTAGAATCTGATGTACTTTTATTTCTAATACATTTCTTTTTTTTTTTTTTTTTTTGAGATGGAGTCTCGCTCTGTTGCCGAGCCTAGAGTGCAGTGGGGCAATCTTGGCTCCTTGCAACCTCCACCTCCTGGGTTCAAGCTATTCCTGTCTCAGCCTCCCAAGTAGCTGGGACTACAGGCACCTGCCACCACAGCCGGCTAGGTTTTGTATTTTAGTAGAGATGGGGTAGCACCATGTTGGCCAGGCTGGTCTCGAACTCATGACCTCAGGTGATCCACCTGCCTCGGCCTCCCAGTGCTGGGATTATAGGCATGAGCCACCATGCCTGGCCTTTCTTTGTCGTTTCCTTTCTTTCTCTTCATCCCTCCTCTCCTTTTTTCCCCTCCCCGCTGCCTCCTCCTGTCTTCCCTTCTTTCCTTCCTTTCTCTCCTTTTTATTTTTTCCTTTCTTTTTCTTTCTCTGTCTCTCCCAACCCTTCCTCTCTCCCTCCCTCCCTCCCCTTCTCTCTCCCCCCCTCCCTCCCCTTCTCTCTCCCCCTCCCCTTTTGTTCCTAAGAGACAGGGTCTCCTTATGTTGCTGAGGCTGACCTTGAACTCCTGAGCCCAGATGATTCTGCCTCCTTAGTAGCTGGGACTACACCCACCTCCCGTTCCGTTGTCATCTTTTTTTTTTTTTTCTTTTTTGGAGACAGAATCTTCCTCTGTTGCTCAGGGTGGAGTGTAGTGGCACGATCATAGCTTACTGTAACTGTGTAACCTCGAATTCTTGGGCTCAAGCAATCATCCCATCATCCCACCTCAGCTTGCTGAGTACCTGGGGCTACAGGTGTGTACCACCATGTCCGGCTAATTACTTTTCTTATTTTTAATTTTTCGGAGATAGGATCTTGCTCTGTTGCCCAGGCTGGTGTCAAACTCCTGGGCTCAAGTGAAACTCTTGCCTTGGCCTCCCAAAGTGTTGGGAGGGATTACAGGCATGAGCCACTGCACCCAGCCTCCTCTTTCTTCCCATTTAACTCCTAACCACACCGAACTTTCTGTCTGCAGAGAGGAGCATTGGTCAGCAGTTCACAAAATGGCTAGGTGTGATGGCGTGCACCCATAGTCCCAGCTACTTGGGGAGCTGAGGTGGGAGGATCGCTGGAGCCCAGGAGTTCAAGGCCCTGGGCAACACAGCAAGACCTTATCTCTGGCTGGGCCCAGTGGCTCACGCCTGTAATCCCAGCACTTTGGGAGGCTGAGGTGGGTGGATCACCTGAGGTCAGGAGTTCGAGACCAGCCTGGCCAACATGGTGAGACCCTGTGTCTACTAAAAGTACAAAAATTAGCCAGGCACGGTGGCGCGCTCCTGTAATCCCAGCTACTCGGGGGGGCTGAGACAGGAGAATCACTTGAACCCAGGAGGAGGAGGTTGCAGTGAACCAAGAACACGCCACTGCACTCCAGCCTGGGTGACATAGTGAGACTCTTATCTCAAAAAAAAAAAAAAAAGGTCGTCTGTACTATTGCATGTTAGTAGTTTCTTTCTGCTTATTGTTGAGTAGTAGTCTATTGTATGCATGTACCAGTTTGTTCATCTAGTGGTGGACATTGAGTTAGCAGGTTTTGGCTATTAAAAATAAAGCTGGAGGCCGGGTGCGATGTCTCACGCCTGTAATCCCAGCATTTTGGAAGGCCGAGGCAGGCGGATCACCTAAGGTTGGGAGTTTGAGACCAGCCTGACCAACATGGAGAAACCCCATCTCTACTAAAAATACAAAATTAGCCAGGCGTGGTGGCGCATGCCTGTAATCCTAGCTACTCAGGAGGCTGAGGCAGGAGAATCGCTTGAACCCGGGAGGCAGAGGTTGTGGTGAGCCAAGATTGCACCATTGCACTCCAGCCTGGGCATCAAGAGTGAAACTCCGTCTCAAAAAAATAAATAAATAAAGCTGGTATGAATATTTATGTACAGGTTTTGTGTGAACATATGATTTTATTTCTCTTGGTTGGAATGCATAGAAATGAGATTGCTGGGTTTTGTGGCAAGTGTTTATTTTTCCAGGGTACATATAATCCTGTGAGTGTTTATTTAATTTTAAAAGTAATTGCTAAACTGTTTGCTAAAGTGACTGCTATATTTTCTTTCCCTAGCAGTGTATGAATTTTTTTTTGAGGCAGGGTCTTGCTCTGTCACCCAGGGTGGAGTGCAGTGGTGCGATATTGTCTGACTGCAACATTGACCTCCTGGGCTCAAGTGATCCTCCTGCCTCAGCCTCCTGGCTGGGACCACAGGCATGTACCACCACACCTGGTAGTTTGCTTTGATTTTTAGTAGAGAAGAGGTCTCACTATGTTGCCCTGGGTGGTGTTGAACTCCTGGGCTCAAGTGATTCATCTACCTCAGCCTCCCAAAGTGCTGGGATTATAGATATGAGCCCCTGTGCCTGGCCTCATTGTGGTTTTAATTTGCATTTCCCTAATGCCCAGTGATATTGAGCATTTTTTCATGTGTTTATTTGACATTCATACCATCTTTGGTGATGAGAAACTATGTTTATGCATTGCTTAATGATGGGGATGTGTTTTGAGAAATTTTTTCGGTGATCTTATCATTGTACAAATATAGAGTTTACTTACACAAGCCTAGATGGTATACCTACTAGACACATAGGCTGTCGTACAGAGTATTACTCTTAGGCTACAAATCTGTATAGCATGTTGCGGTACTGAACACTGTTGGCAGATGTAACATAATGTTAAGTATTTGTGAATCTAAACATATCTAAACATAGAAAAGGTGAGTAAAAATACAGCGTAAAAGATAAAAGTGGTATATCTGAATAGGTCACTTACCATGAATGGAGCTTGCAGGACAGGAAGTTGCTTGGGATGAGTCATTTATCAGTGGTGTGTGAATGTGCAGGCCTAGGACATTACTGTATGCTACTGTAGACAAACACTGAACAGTTAGGATACACTAAATTGATAAATATCTTTCTTATTTTGTTTTTTGAGATGGAGTCTCGCTCTATCGCCCAGGCTGGAGTGTAGTGGCGTGATGTTGGCTCACTGCAGTCTCTGCCTTCTGGGTTCAAGCGATTCTCCTGCCTCAACCTCCTGAATAGCTGGGATTACAGGTGCGTGCCACCACACCTGGCTAATTTTTGTATTTTTAGTAGAGACGGGGGTTTCACCATGTTGGCCAGGCTGGTCTCGAACTCCTGACCTCAGGTGATCCACCCGCCGTGGCCTCCCAAAGTGCTGGGATTACAGATGTGAGCCACCGCACCTGGCCAGAGATGAGGTCTTGCTGTATTGCCCAGGGCGTTGAACTCCTGGGCTCCAGCAATCCTCCCACCTCAGCTTCCCACGTAGCTGGGACTGTGGGTGCACGCCATCATGCCTAGCCGTTTTGTGAACTGTTGACCAATGCTCTTTTCTGCAGACAGAAAGTTCACTGTGGTTAGGAGTTAAGACTTTTAACCTCTGACCTCAAGTGATCTGCCCACCTTGACCTCCCAAAGTGCTGGGATTACAGGTGTGAGCCATCACGCCTGGTCAAAAATATCTTTCTTTAAGAGTAAATTTACCTTAACTTACTGGTTGATCATTGTATATAGGTCTGTTGTTAATTGAAACATGCGGGCCGGGCCCGGTGGCTCATGCCTGTAATCCCAGCACTTTGGGAGGCCGAGGCGGGTGGATCACAAGGTCAGGAGATCGAGACCATCCTGGCTAACACGGTGAAACCCCGTCTCTACTAAAAATACTAAAAATTAACCGGGTGTGGTGGCGGGCGCCTGTAATCCCAGCTACTCGGGAGGCTGAGGCAGGAGAATGGCGTGAACCCGGGAGGCGGAGCTTGCAGTGAGCCGAGATCGTGCCACTGCACTCCAGCCTGGGCAACAGAGCGAGACTCTGTCTCAAAATAAATAAATAAATAAATAAATAATTGAAACATGCGGTGCATGTGTTTATTTGCGATCTGACTTGTTTGGAAATATTTGCATTATCTTCCTTCTAGATTTAGAGCATCTTGACAGTAGGAACAAGTGTTTTGTACAACTTTGTATGCTTAGTAAGTTATCAATTAACTTGTCGTGGCCAGGCGCAGTGGCTCACGACTGTAATCCCAGCACTTTGGGAGGCCGAGGCGGGCAGATCACCTGAGGTCAGGAGTTCGAGACCAGCGTGGCCAACGTGGTGAAACCCTGGGTTTGTTTGTTTGTTTATTTATTTATTTATTTTTTGGAGACGGAGTCTCGCTCTGTCGCCCAGGCTGGAGTGCAGTGGCGTGATCTCGGCTCACTGCAACCTCCGACTCCCAGGTTCATGCCATTCTCCTGCCTCAGCCTCCCAAGTAGCTGGGACTACAGGAGCCCGCCACCATGCCTGGCTAATTTTTTTATTTTTAGTAGAGATGGGGTTTCGCCGTGTTATCTGGGATGGTCTCGAACTCCTGACTTTGTGATCCGCCCGCCTCGGCCTCCCAAAGTTCTGGGATTACAGGCGTGAGCCACCACACCTGGCCTACCCTGTGTTTATTACAAATACACAAATTGGCCATTTGTGCGTGGCTCATCTACAGTCTCAGTGACTCAGAAGGCTGAGGCAGGAGAATCTCTTGAACCCGGGAGGCAGAGGTTGCAGTGAGCAGAGATCGTGCCACTGTACTTCAGCCTGGGTGACAGAGTGAGACTGTGTCTCAAAATAATAATAATAATTTGTTGAATATGTGACTGTTGGTTTAATTTTTATTTTTATGAGATGGAGTCTCACTCTGTTGCCCAGGTTGGAGTACAGTGGCGTGCAGTGGCGCAATCTTAGCTCACTGCAACCTCCGCCTCCTGTGTTCAGGTGATTCAGCCTCCCAAGTACCTGAGACTACAGACGTGCACTACCGTGCCTGACTAATTTTTGTATTTTTAGTAGAAATGGGGTTTCACCATGTTGGTCAGCCTGGTCTCAAACTCCTATTCTCAAGTGATCCGCCTACCTCGACCTTCCAAAGTGGCGGAATTATAGGTGTGAGCCGTGGTGCCCGGCCAGACTATTGGTTTGGTTTGGTGTGATGTTATGTTATGTTATGTTATGTTATGTTATGTTATGTTATGTTATGTTATTTTAAGACAGAGTTTGTCTCTTGTCGCCCAGGCTGGAGTGCAGCGGCATGATCTCGGCTTACTGCAACCTCCGCCTCCCAGGTTCAAGTGATTCTCCTGTCTTAGCCTCCCAAGTAGCTGGGATTACAGGCGCCCACCACCGTGCCTGGCTAATTTTTGTATTTTTAGTAGAGACAGGGTTTCACCATCTTGGCCAGGCTGTTCTGGAACTCCTGACCTCATGATCCACCCGCCTTGGCCTCCCAAAGTGCTGGGATTACAGGCGTGAGCCACTGCGCCTGGCTGACTATTGGTTTTATTATTAAGCAGTAGTAGTTGACCCTGTCATGTAGAAAGCATGGCATTTATAGGCATACCACGTTTAATTTCCTCCCCTTTTTTTATTTTTGGAGTACCTCCTGCTTGTGAGGCTTGGGAATACAGTAGTGAATAAGCCAGATGAGGTCTCTCTCTTTTTGGAGCTTATGTGGTAGTATAGACTAGGCAGAAAGTTCTCATTGCCCCTGCCACCTTATGGCATTGAGGTGTTTGAGATGCTGATGTTTACTTCTGTCTCATAAAATCTTGAAAGGAGTTCTTTTAGATGAAGAGGAAAACAAAATCAGAAGAATGGGCCTGGGTCATGTCTGTAAACCTCCCCACGTCATGGGGAGGCTGAAATGGGAAGGGCCAGGAGTTCAAGACCAGGCTGAGAAACATAACAAGACCCCATCTCTACAAAAAATATTTTTTAATTAATGGGGGATGGCAGCACACACCTGTAGTCGCAGCTACTACGAGGCTGAAGCGAGAGGATTGCTTGAGCTCAGGAGTTAAAGATTGCAGGAGCTATGATCACAGCACTGCGCTCCAGCCCCTCTTATCAGCAGTCTGGTATGTTGCTAAGGGTCTTGTTCTTTTTAGTGCTTCAGGGACAGCCACTGGCTATGCCCAGAAATAAGTATGTTTGAGAAGCTTTCTGACCTCAGCTTGAAAAATTGATTAGGGTCATAATTAAAAAGGGAGGGAAACAGGATTGAGTGAACCGGACGCTACCGTGAGTTTATTCTCCCAGGGCATACATAATCTCATGTGATTACCACATAGCCCTGTTAGATAATCTGTTATCCTGTCCTCATTTTACCCATGAGGAAATGAAGGCCCAGAGAGGTTAAATGACCTATTCAAATTCACTCAGAAGGTGGCAGAGATGAGTTACTATCATTGTATTTTGGATCTCTGGAAAGAAAGAAAACTAGTGATGGTATTAAAAAATGTTATTAATAGTTTCTTTTAATCAACCAGGAACTTGAGTCACTAGCTTCTCTGGGTGAAGGACTATACTTCAACAGTATGAAAAACGGAAAAGAAAATGAGGAATTTTGGCTGGGCACAGTGGCTCACACCTGTAATTCTAGCACTTTGGGAAGCCAAGGGAGGAGGGTCGCTTGAGCTCAGGAATTCAAGATCAGCCTAGGCAACATAGTGAGGCCCCATCTCTACAAAAATAAATTAGCTGGGCATGGTGGTGCATGCGTATAGTCTCAGCTACTTGGGAGGCTGACTCAGGAGGGTCACTTAAACCCAGGAATTGGAGGTTGCAGTGAGCTATGATTGCGCCACTGTATACCATCCCAGGCGACAGAGTGAGACCCTATCCCCCCACCGCCAAAAAAAAGAAAAGAAAATGAGGAATTTACATTTGTGACAGATACGGAATTCAGGGAATTTAGTTGTTCATAGTCTATAAATGCTATAAGAAGTCTCCATACCTTTTTTTTTTTTTTTTTTTTTTTTTGGAGACAGAGTCTTGCTCTGTCGCCCAGGCTGGAGTGCAGTGGTGCGATCTTGGCTCACTACAAGCTCTGCCTCTCGGGTTCACGCCATTCTCCTGCCTCCACCTCCCGAGTAGCTGGGACTACAGGTGCCCGCCACCACGCCCGGCTAATTTTTTTGTATTTTTGGTAGAGATGAGGTTTCACTGTGTTAGCCACAGATCCCGACCTCATGATCTGTCTGCCTCAGCCTCCCAAAGTGCTGGGATTGCAGGCTTGAATCACCGCACCCGGCCGGAAGTCTCCATACTTTTTAACCCAATCTAAAATGGTAAGGAAATATATAAGAATGTCTATTTATTATTAAATTTTTTCTATATAAAACATTTCAGAAAATAAAGACTAGCATTTCTGAGCCAAGTGGTAGTAGTGGCCATTTTTTCTGGAAAAAAAAAAAAAAAGAAAGAAAAAACACATTTAGCTATCTATGATGTGAAAAGATGAACATTTTATTTAGGTAATAAATGTTATGTCATAAAATACCATTTATTGTGTGCCTATTAGGTTTCAGGAGAGCTGTGCCAAGAGCATTACTTGTATATCTTTTAAGCCTTACAACAGCCCAGCCTGTCAGGCTGGTAGTGCCATATCTGTTTTACAGATGAGGAAGTGATGGATTGGAGAAATTAAGGAAATTGCCTTTAGGTCAAAGAGATAGGAAGTGACAAAGCTGAGATTTTTAACCTTGTGAGATTTCAAAGTCTTTGCTTTTTAATAACTGTTCCATTGCTTCTAATATAGAGATATGACAAAAACAAGTAAAAATCAGTGAAGAAGGCTGGGAGCAGTCGCTTATGCCTGTAATCCCAGCAGTTTGGGAGGCCGAGGCGTGTGGATCGCCTGAGGTCAGGAATTTGAGACCAGCCTGGCCAACATGACAAAACTCCGTCTCTACTAAAAATACAAAAAAGTTAGCCAGGCGTGGTGACAAGCACCTGTAATCCCAGCTACTCAGTAGGCTGAGGCAAGGAGAATCGCTTGAACCTGGGAGGTGGAGGTTGCAGTGAGCTGAGATCGCTCCATTGCACTCCAGCGTAGGCAACAAAGCAAGACTCCGTCTCAAAAAATAAATAAATAAATAAATAAAAATAATAACAATAATGAAGAAAACAATCCGGTGATTATTGTCAGCAATAAAATTTCTTCAATCAACCATGCTTTAGTCCTGGCAGTTCTCTATCAGTGAGTTTCAATCAAAAAGTTTGTTTATAATTTTTTTTTTTTTAAAATTTTGAAATTTGGAAACAACATCATAAATGATGGTTAGTTTTCTGCAGCTCCCTATTTTGGCAGATAGTCTGTTGTTACTCATAATTAATTTGAACTAAAAAGTAGTGTTGTACGATATCATGGGCTGTGAATGTGTTTGTGACTTGATCTGAGAACCCACACACCACTTAGGATGCTTCTGTAGGAAAATTAGAGTATGGAACTCACTTGCCCACGCTTTCCCTGTCTCAGTCCATGTTGGTAGGCTGCAAAGTCTGGGGCTAGAAGGACACTGAACAAGACTTCAGCAGTACATGTTAGTCTTCCAGAGGGAAGGAATATAATAGTTGAGAGAATAATTCCTTTCCTCTGTGACTTTAGGCAAATTCTTGGCTATGCTGTTATTTATTTGGGCCAAACAATATCAGGAGGTTGTACATTTTATTCTTAATTACTGCGATACATTAATTTTATCCATGGGTTTAACCTAGCCTACCTTTTGCTGTTAGACTTCAACTCTACTTGTGTTGGGTTACCCCTCTGCTTAAAAATCACCCTATTCCCAAGCCTGAGGGAGTCTACCTTCAAAGCTTTCTATGACCTAATCCAAGGCCTGTCAAACTTCGTAAAGGGCCAGATAGTAAATTTGTTTTTTTTTTTTGAGATGGAGTTTTGCTCTTGTCACCCAGGCTGGAGTGCAATGGTGCCATCTTGGCTCACTGCAACCTCTGCCTCCCAGGTTCAAGTGATTCTCCTGCCTCAGCCTCTCAAGTAGCTGGGGTTATAGGCATGTGCCACCACGCTCGGCTAATTTCTTTGTATTTAGTAGAGATGGGGGTTTCACCATTTTGGTCAGGCTGGTCTCGAACTCCTGACCTCAGGTGATCCACCTGCTGCGGCCTCCCAAAGTGCTGGGATTACCAGTGTGAACCACCGTGCCCAGCCCGATAGTAAATATTTTAGGCTTTGCAGTCCATATACAGTCCCATTTTTTTGTGTATGTTTGCACGTTTTCTTTACATATTTTAAAAGCCCCTTTTTTTTTTTTTTTGAGACAGAGTCTTGCTGTGTTGCTCAGGCTGGAGTGCAGTGGTGCAATCTTGGCTCACTGCAACCTCTGCCTCCTGGGTTCAGGCGATTCTCCTGTCTCAGCTTCCCGAGTAACTGGGATTACAGGCACATGCTGCCACGCCCAGCTAATTTTTGTATTTTTAGTAAAGATGGGGTTTCGCCACATTGGCCAGGCTGGTCTCCTGATCTCAGGTGATCTGCCCACCTCTGCCTCCCAAAGTGCTGGGATTACAGGTGTGAGCCACCGTGCCTGACCTAAAAGCTCTTTACAGTGTAAAAAATATTCTGAGCTTTAAGCCATGTGAAAATAGGCCATGGGCATTTGCTGACCCCTAATAGAACTCCATTTTACCTTTCTGATCATGTTTCCCATTAACTCTTCAAAAATATGACCTCCATTTAAATCAAGATGGTCTCCTTCCTCACTGCTTGTGGAGGTCCAGTGCCCAGTGTCTGCCTCTTGCTTGCTCCTCCATCATTGTTCTGCCATTCGAGATCCTCATACTTACCCTTTAAGATCTAGCCCAAATTTTCCATGAAACTAATTCTAATAATTAAAAACTTCCTGTAGAACTTAACTTTGTCTAGTACAAGTTAGCTTTCTTATTCAGTAGTAGCTTACTATAAATTACAAGAATAAAAAGATTACCATTTTCCCTCACACTGTTTTGTGGAGAATGCCTAAAGTTACTTTTTCTTTTTACAGGTCAGTATTCCTATTTGGCATCCTAATCCCCTTTCCCAAATCTGAATTTTGGGATTTGAAGCTTGCATTTGAGATTATGATTTGTCTTCCTTGTTGTACACAGGAGCAGGGACTTTACAATTAGTATTCGCATCCCTGCTCCTTCATACTTCGTGATGTAAGGCAAGTTATTTTCACTTATGCTTAAGTTTCTTCCCCTGTAAAAAGGGGATGGAAGAGGATTAAATGAATTAAACATGTAACACGCTTAAAGCAATGCCTGGCAAGTAATAAGTGCTCAGTAACTTTTAGCTGTTCTTATTAGCATGTTTGGAAACCAGTAGAAACTACACCAGCAAGTTAAGGTTGAAAAGTGGTATTGATGGGCTTGGGGTAGTACAGTATGAATGGCTACAGTTTAGCGTTTCATTAAGTTTGTATATTCATTAATTCATTACACATTTGATGCTGTCAGACTAGGACAGAGACAAAGATGAATGAAACATTATCTCTGCTTCCAGGTTACCCAGTGTAGTAGAGAAGGCAGGCATGCAGATAGTTTAAATTGGTAGCACTGGGAGGGGACTGCCATGGGTGGGCAGTGAAGAAAAAGGGCTTCAAAATAATGAGAGTTGAGATGGATCTTCAAGGAAGATAAGCAGTTTTCAGTAAGGCCATGAAGAGAGGAGGAAGTTCCAGGCGGGAAGAGTTTGTGCTAAAGTACAGGGATTGCTATACACATGGTGTATGTAGAAAAAATTTGGTTCACAGTGTGATAGAAGAATTGGAGGGGGTCCTCACTGAAAGTAAGGAAACACATTTGGAAGAATATGTTTCAGTTAGAAAATGAAATGAGCTTAAAGTAAACGCTAATAAGGTTTTTAAAATGTAAAATTTCAACGTATTTAGAAAGAGAACAGCTGGATGAATCTTATGTACCTGTCACTCAGCTTTAGCAGTTATCAGTAAATGGCCAACGTTGTTTCAGCTATACTCCCCTCTCCTCCACTGATAGTCTTTTGAAGGGGAATACAATTGTTTTGTGGCCTCCAGAAAGGGATAAGTTTATGAGCAACGGGTAGATCGTTGGGAGAGACTTGAGTTTCCTGTCAGGAAGCATTCTTGGTGCATAAGTCAGAGGTGATATGAATGCCGTGGAAGGGGGTGGCTTACTGTCTGGAGAACTCGAGAAGATGGGAATGGGCACTGTCCAGTATTGTGGCTACTTCCACACATGGTTCTTTAAATTTAAAATTATGTTGATTAAAATTTAAATATTTCAGTTCCTCAGCCATACTAATCGTATTTCAAGTGCTTAGCTGCCACATGTGCCTAATGGCTGCAATATTGGACAGCATGACATAGGACATCTTCATCATTGTACAAAGTTCTCTTGGACAGCATGGGACTAGAGCCCTAAGATCCTTTTCTACCTGAGTTGTTTGGATTTTTTGGTGTGTCTAGGTTGGATCTAGTTGTTCATGGCTTCATGACCAAGCCTTTTATCCCTTTCTCTAGAGGGACTCAAGGGGTAAAGGCACTGAAGGGGTAAAACTTCATATGAAGAGTGTGGTGGTGGTGGTGGTGTTTTAAGACAGGGTCTCGCTCTGTCACTCAGGCTGGAGTCCAGTGGCATGATCCTGGCTCACTGCAGCCTCGACTTCCTGGGCTTAAGTGATCCTCCCACCTCAGCTCCCAAGTAACTGGAACTGTAGGCATGAGCCACCACACCTGCCTAATTTTTAAAACTTTCTGTAGAGACGAGATTTCGCCATGTTGTCCAGGCTGGTCTCAAATTCCTGGACTCACCTTGGCCTCCCAGAGTGCTGGGATTGCAGGTGTGGGCCACTGCGACTGGCCTTTTTTTTCTCCTTTACTACTCTAGTGTATGCTGGAATATGAGGAAATAATTATATTAGCTAGCAGTTATTAAACACTTAATAACATACCAGGCACTGTTTTAAGCTATGCGATCTGTATGGAATATTACTTAATTTCCACAACCTTATGAAAAGATACTATTTTTTTTCTTTTGAGAAGGTACTATTTTCATCTTCATTTCATAGATGTTGAAATTGAAACACAGAGAGCTGAAGTCACAGGATTAAGGCCACAGAGCTGAGAAGTGATGGAGCCGGAATTTGAACCCAAGCAATTAATGCTGATATTAGTTCTTGTGTGAATGGTAATTGTTTTGAAACAATGATCCTAGATGATTATATGACCGGATTAATCTGGCAGTTGTTCTGTGTGAATTTAGAGTTGCCTTCCCACCTCAGTTTCCTAAAAACAAAACAAAACAAAACAAAACAAAAAAAACTCTAGCTTCACTGTGTTTGGGTTGTCATGGCCTACCCCCTCTTGCCACCTCATTTGACTCAACTTTTTAGGGAGAAAATATTCAATACGTGGTATAGGATTTCCCTTTCTAATAATAATGTAAACAACAACAAGAAGTCTGAAATTGGAAGAACAAAATGACTCACCTAAGTGAGTTAACCTTAAGAGGTGGAACTTGATTTCTAGATTTTAGTTAATTGTCTAACTGATGTACTAAATATTAGTTACTTAAGTATTAAAACGGGTAGACATAATAGTTGGGGAGCTGCTGTAGAGGGGGTAGTTTGAGAAGGCTTCTTTCAGGAGGTGACATTTAAGTTGGTAACTAACAAGAAAGGGGCAGCCATGTGAATAGCTGGAGGGAAGAGCATTCTTACAGTTTTACTGGAAGGGGGTTAGAGGTATGTGGTACCCTTATGCCAAAGAAAATTAGTTACTTCTATACAACCAGTCTGATTCTAGAAACCTGGATCAATGAAATATTTTGATTATATAAAAAAATCTGTTACCCAGGTCTTGTTGAAATAGCATTAGAAACTACTGAAGGACATATAGAGGAGGAGTGTTGAAAAATGGTGATGGATGAGCAGAATGGTGAAAAATAAAAAGACATGAAGCTCTATAATTATATTGTATGGTGACAGTACCAATAGAGATTGCATGTTTTTTCTCCCCAGTTTTTTTTTTTGTTTTGTTTTTTGTTTTTGAGACAGAGTCTCACTGTGTCACTCAGGCTGGAGTGCATTGTCGTGATATTGGCTTACTGCAACCTCTGCTTCCTGGGTTCAAGCGATTCTCCTGCCTCAGCCTCCTGAGTAGCTGGGATTACAGGCATGTGCCACCACGCCCGGCTAATTTTTGTATTTTTATTTGAGAGGGGATTTCACCATGTTGGCAAGGCTGGTCTTGAGTTCCTGACCTCAGATAATCCACCTGCCTCAGCCTCCCAAAGTGCCGGGATTACAGGTGTGAGCCACTGCGCCCGGCCTCCCCCAGTTGTTGAAACAATAATGGAAGGTAATTTTATTCTTAGATTATTTAATGTTTTTCAGTTATCAGGATGTGTTAGATTGTTTGTGTATATTGTTTTGCTTGTTAATTAAGTAACACAGTGAATAAGACAGACAAACATACGAAAATGTACATTTATTTTATTTTTTTGAGACAGTCTGTTGCCCAGGCTGGAGTGCAGTGGCCCAATCTCGGCCCACTGCAACCTCTGCCTCCTGAGTTGAAGCGATTCTCTTGTGTCAGCCTCATGAGTAGCTGGGGCCATGGGTGCACGCCACCATACCCGGCTAATTTTTATATTTTTAGTAGAGATGGGGTTTCACCATATTGGCCAGGCTGGTCTCGAATTCCTGACCTCAGGTGATCTGCCCGCCTTGGTCTCCCAAAGTGCTGGGACTACAGGCATGAGCCACTGTGCCAGGCCATTTCATTTTTGGAACGTTCTTTTTTTTTTTTGAAATGGGGTCTCGCTCTGTCTCCCAGGCTGGAGTGCAGTGGCTCAATCTCAGCTTACTGCAACCTCTGCCTTCCGGGTTCAAGTGATTCTCCTGCCTCAGCCTCCTGAGTATCTGGGACTACAGGTGCATGCCACCACGCCAGGCTAATTTTTGTATTTTTAGTAGAGACGGGGTTTCACCATATTGGTGAGGCTGGTCTTGAACTCCTGGCTTCGTGATCTGCCCGCCTCAACTTCGCAAAGTGCTGGGATTACAAGTGTGAGCCACCACGCCCGGCCTGTTTCTGGAATATTCATAATCTTTTGTTGTCATTTCAACAGTGCTCACAGCAGCTTCACCAGGTGTAGATTCCATCTTAAGAAACCACTTTCTTTGCTTATCCATGAGAAGCAACACCTCATCTATTCAAGTTTTATCATGAGATTGCAGCAATTCAGTTACATCTTCTGACCCCACTTCTAATTTTAGTTCTCTTGCTTTTTTACCACATCTGCAGTTACTTGCTCTACTGAAGTCCTGAACCCCTCAAAATCATTCATGAGTATTAGAAGCAATTTCCTGGTTGGGCACGGTGGCTCATGCCTGTAATCCCAGTACTTTGGGAGGCCAAGGAGGGCGGATCACCTGAAGTCAGGAGTTCAAGACCAGTCTGGCAAACGTGGTGAAACCCCGTTTCTACTAAAAATACAAAAATTAGCGGGGATGTGGTGGCGGGCGCCTATAATCCCAGCTACTTGGGAGACTGAGGCAGGAGAATCGCTTGAACCTGGGAGGTGGAGGTTGCAGTGAGTTGAGATTGTGCCCTTGCACTCCAGCCTGGGCAACAGGAGCGAAACTCTATCTTAAAAAAAAAAAAAAAGAAAAGCAATTTCCTCTAAAACTCCTGTTAATGTTGATGTTTTAACCTCCTCCCATGCTCATGGATGGCATTCTCAGTGGCATCTAGAATGGTGAATACTTTTTAGAAAGTTTTCAATTTATTTTGCCATCAGAGAATGGCTATGAATGGCAGTAGTAGCCTTACAGAATGTATTTCTTTTTTTTTTTTTCTTTTTTTTTGAGATGGAGTTTTTTTTGCTCTTGTCACCCAGGCTGGAGTGCAGTGGCATGCTATCTCGGCTCACCGCAACCTCCGCCTCCCGGGTTCAAGCAATTCTCCTGCCTCAGCCTCCTGAGTAGCTGGGATTACAGGCATGCACCACCATGCCCACCTAATTTTGTATTTTTAGTAGAGGCGGGGTTTCTCCATGTTGGTCAGGCTGGTCTTGAACTCCCGATCTCAGGTGATCTGCCTGCCTCGGCCTTCCGAAGTGTTGAGATTACAGGCGTGAGCCACCGCGCCCGGCCGTATTTCTTAAATAAAATGGCTTAAACGTCAAAATTATCCCTTGATCCCTGGGCTATGGACTGATTCTTGTGTTAGCAGTTATGAAAACATTTATGTCCTTGTACATTCCCATCATAGCTTTTTGTCAATGAGAAGTAATTTTTTTTTTTTTTTTGAGACAGAATCTCACTCTGTTTCCCAGCGTGGAGTGCAGTGGCATGATCTCAGCTCAGTGCATCCTACAACTCTGAGGTTCAAGCAATTCTCGTGCCTCAGCTTACTGAGTAGCTGGGATTACAGGCGCCCACCACCACGTCTGGCTAATTTTTGTATTTTTAGTAGAGATGGGGTTTCACGATGTTGGCCAGGCTGGGCTCGAACTCCTGGCTTCAAGTGATCCACCTGCCTTGGCCTCCCAAAGTGCTGGGATTGTAGGTGTGAGCCACTATGCCTGGCCTAATTGGCCTAATTTCAATATTGTTATATCTCAGGGAATAGAGAGGCACGAGGAGAAAGAGAGACAAGCTGACTGCTGGTTCGTGGAGTAGTCATAACACACAACATTTATTAAGATTGCTGTCTTATATGGACCGTTTGTGGTGCCTTAAAAGAAATCAGGGTAACATC
Organism: Homo sapiens; assembly: GCF_000001405.40. Taxonomy (NCBI): domain Eukaryota; kingdom Metazoa; phylum Chordata; class Mammalia; order Primates; family Hominidae; genus Homo; species Homo sapiens. Next base: position 111,565,543 of record NC_000012.12, on the reverse strand, counting down.
AACGATTACTGATTACAGATTACTATAACAGATACAATAATAATTGTAAATTATTATTTACAATTGTAAAATACAATCTTTTCTTTATTATTTACAATTATTGTAAAATACAATCTGATTACAGATTACTATAACGTATACAATAATAGTGGAAAAGTTTGAAAATATTGTGAGATTTATGAGAATGTGACACAGGCGCAAAGAGAGCACATGTTACTGGAAATACGGCACTAATGGACTTGCCCGACTCGGGGTTTCCACAGACGGTCAGCTTGTCAAAAATGCAGCATCTGTGAATTTCAATAAAGCAAAGCAGAATAAAATGAGGTATGCATGTATTGCCATCACATGTACACTAGTAAAATACGTTTTTTTTTTCAGTAGGTGGATCAACCTCAAATTTTAATATAAAGCATTACTTAAAGGAGAATATGGGGACATTCATGACATTTCTTATATGTACATAAAACTTCATGAAAATAATTTAATGCTATCCAGCAGTTTATTTTAGAAGTACTGGAGGCTAGGCATGGTGTCTTATGCCTGTAATCCCAGCACTTTGGGAGGCTGAGGTAGGAGGATCACTTGAGTTCAGGAGCTGGAGACCAGCTTGGGCAATATAGTGCGACCCCATCTCTACAAAAGAGAAAAGAAGTACTGGAGTGTTGCAGCTCTTACAGAATTTGTCTAGCAGGTTTTCCAGTCTTTACCAGAAATGCCCCCATGCAGAAGTAGTAAATACTGATTCATGTAAAATAATAAACAACTTTATCTTTCAGTTTTTAAAAGACAGGGTCTTGTAACGTTGCCCAGACTGGCCTTTAATTCCTGGGCTCAAGCGATCCTCTCACCTGAGCCTTTTGAGTAGCTGAGACTACAGGCTGCACCTCTGCACCTGGCTCTGCTTGATTTTTAATTGTTGTATTGCTGTTGCAGCTATGTTTTTTTTTTTCTTCAGTGTGAGGATGGGCAAACTTTTTATGTAAAGTCTCAGGTAATAAGTATTTTAGGCTCTAGGGCCATATAGCTTCTCTGTTGCATATCCTTTTTTTTTTTTTCCATTTCCCCTCAAATTCCTTTTACCATAAGCAACTCTTGAGGAACATAAAAATCATTCTTAGCCCAGAAGCCAGACCAAAACAGGTTGTGGGCTGTAGTGTCCTGACCCCTGATTTAAAGATTGATAGCTTTGAAATGGAAAGTTTTAACTTTCTTTTTTTTTCTTTCCCTTGTTCTGATTGGGCTGTTAATTCATTAGGTATTTACTCAGTGTGTATCATATGAGGCATGATTCCTCTGCTAATTTTGGTAGTGGTAGAAAGATACTTTTGCCAAGCTTGGTTGTTAGGTTTTCATTTGTCCAAGAGTTCCTGACCAAGTGTGAATGGATGTTGAAATCAAGGTGTTTCTTTGGCCACACAATGTGCCTTTGGGGGCTATATCTATGTGCTTCTGGTACCTTCTTTTAATTTTCACAAAGACACTGCTTGCCGACCACACTGTTTTGTCTAATGTGGGGCTATGACCCCCTGGAAGAGGCATCATTTTCTGATTTTCACAGAAGCATAATATGGTCAGGTGATGGTCCTGAGTAGTGGGTATATGACAGATACACTAGTAATTATAATACAGATCTAAACTGGAGAGTTGAAAACAGCATCGTATATTTGATTGAGATAATCGAAGGAAGACTTCCTGAAAAGATGGCATTTGAGTTTCAAGGCTGAGTAGGATTAAGTATTATTATTTAAAAAATGCCTTGGACAATGCATTAAATAGAGTTAACAAATCACATCACTTATAGTCTCCAATTAAAAACATTTTACTTAAACATAATTTTAGACTTTTAGAAAAATTGCAAAGATATTATAAAGAATTCTCCTATATATCTCACCTGTATTCTTCAAGTAACATTTTACCATATTCACCTTAACATTTTCTCTGTATTGGTAATTGTATATGTAAGATTTAATATAAAATAAAAATTCTTATTAAACATATGAGAGACATGATGCCTCTTTAGCCCTAAATACTTCAACTTGTATGTACTAATAACAAGGGCATTCTATTTCAAAACCACAGTACAGTTGTCAAAATAAGGAAATTAATAATTGTGTCAAACTGTTATTCTGTTTATAGACCTTCTAATGTCCTTTAAAACAATCAACAAATCAACATTTTTCTGGTCAAGAACCAGTAAATATGTATATTCTACATATATATATACACATATATATACACACATATATTCTACATATATATGTGGAATATACGTATTTACTCCCTCTGTCCAAGAACCAATCCAGGATTGTTACCTTCGGTTATCATGTATCTTTGGTCTCCTTTAATCCAAAGCAGTTTCTTTGTCTTTTATGACTTGACACTTTTGAAGATTACAGGTTATTTTGTAGACTGTCCCTCAACTAGGGTTTATCTGAGGTTTCCTTATGATTAGATTCAGATATTTATTTTTGGCAGGAATACAACAGAAATGATTTGTGTGTTTTTCTCATTGCATGATATCAGAAAGTGCATTGTATATATTTATCCCATTACTGGGGTTGTTAACTTTGATCACTTGGTTAGAGTTGTGTCTACTAAGTTTCTTCACTATAAAGTTATTTTTCACTTGGTCATTTCATCAGTATCTTGTGGGGAGTTACTTTGTGGTTATATAAATACTCTGTTTCTACTTTCCCTTACTATATTTAGCTTCTGTGGACACTTTTGCCTGAAACAGTTATTTACTATGGTGTTACCAAGTAGTGATGCCCTTTTCTTCCATCATTCTGTCTACATTTTTTTTTTTTTTTTTTTTTTTTTGAGATGGAGTTTCGCTCTTATTGCCCAGGCTGGAGTGCGGTGGCCTGATCTTGGCTCACTGCAACCTCTGCCTCCCGGGTTCAAGCAGTTCTCCTGCGTCAGCCTCCCGAGTAGCTGGGATTACAGACATGCGCCACCACTCCTGGCTAATTTTGTATGTTCAGTAGAGACAGGATTTTTCCATGTTGGTCAGGCTGGTCTCCAACTCCCGACCTCAGGTGATCCACCCACCTCAGCCTCCCAGAGTGCTAGGATTACAGGCGTGAGCTGCCACACCAGGCCTTCTTTTTCTCTTTTAAGAGATAGAGTCCTGCTTTGTCACCAAGGCTGGAGTGCAGTGGCATGATGATAGTTCACTGCAGCCTCAAACTCCTGGGCTCAAGTGAACCTCCCATCTGTAGCTGGGACTACAGGCACCTGCATAACACCTGACTGTTTTTTAAAACTATTTTAGAGATGGGGTCTTGCGAAGTTGCTCAGGATGGTCTTGAACTCCGGGTCTTAAGTGGTCCTTCTGCCTCAGCCTCTGGATTAGTTGGCATTACAGGCATGAGCCATTGTACCTGGCAAGTGCATATTTTCTTTTTTTTTTTTTAAGGTGGAGTCTCGAGGCCGGGCGCAGTGGCTCACACCTGTAATCCCAGCACTTTGGAAGGCCGAGGTGGGTGGATCAAGAGGTCAGGAGATCGAGACCATCCTGGCTAACATGGTGAAACCCTGTCTCTACTAAAAATACAAAAAATTAACTGGGCATGGTGGCACACGCCTGTAGTCCCAGCTACTCGGGAGGCTGAGGCAGGAGAATTGCTTGAACCCAGGAGGTGGAGGTTGCAGTGAGTCAAGATCATGCCACTGCACTCCAGCCTGAGCGACAGAGGTAGACTCTGTCTCAAAAAAAACAGAAAGACGGAGTCTTGCTCTGTCACCCAGGCTGCATTGCAGTGGCATGAACTCCGCCTCCTGAGTTCAAGCAATTCTTGTGCCTCAGCCTCCCAAGTAGCTGGGATTACAGACATGTGCCACCACACGTGGCTAATTTTTATAGTTTTAGTAGAGGTGGAGTTTCACCATGTTGGCTAGGCTGGTCTTGAACTCCTGACTTCAGGTGATCCACCCGCCTTGGCCTCTTGAAGTGGTGGGATTATGAGTGTGAGCCACTGTGCCCAGCCAAGTGAGTATTTGCTTATGTAGTATTTTAATTTTATGATTTTTTTTTCTTTGAGACGGAGGTTTGCTCTTGTTGCCCAAGCTGGAGTACAGTGGTGCCATCTCGGCTCACTGCAGCCTCCACCTCCTGGGTTCAAGCCGTTCTCCTCCCTCAGCCACCTCCTCCTGAATAGTTGGGATTATAGGCGCCTGCCACCATGCCTGGCTAATTTTTTGTATATCTAGTAGTGATGGAGTTTGAGCATGTTGCCAGGCTGGTCTTGAACCTCTGACCTCAGGTGATCCACCTGCCTTGGCCTCCCAAAGTGCTGGGATTAAGGCATGAGCCACCATGCCCGGCCAGAGACTGTTCATTTATTTTTTTTTTTTGAGGCGGAGTCTCGCTGTATTGCCCAGGCTGGAGTGCAGTGGCACAATCTCGGCTCACTGCAAGCTCCGCCTCCCAAGTTCACACCATTGTCCTGCCTTAGCCTCCTGAGTAGCTGGGACTACAGGTGCCTGCCACCACGCCTGGCTAATTTTGTTTTTGTATTTTTAGTAGAGATGGGGTTTCAGCCCGCCTTGGCCTCCTGGAGTGCTGGGATTACAGGCGTGAGTCAGGGCGCCTGGCCAATCATACCTTCTTTTACTGCATTAATTATGGTTTTCTTTCGTTCTTAAAACATGTTTATAGTGACCACTTTTGAAATTCTTATTAAGTCAGACATCTGGTTATACAAGCAATTTCTATTGCCTACTTCTTTTTCCAGTGGGTGGGGTTATACTTTCCTGTGTCTTAGCTTGTCGTTTTTTTTTTTGTTGTTGAAAACTGGACATTTTAAGTAATGTAGTAACTCTGGATACCTCATTAGCCTATGGTTGGGGGTGGTGGTTGTTACTGTTATTTGCTTATTTGTCTAATGACTGGCTGAATGATTTTAGTGTTCTATCCTTCTTCCCTCCCTGTACAGTGTGACACGTCTGATGCTAGTTTTCTTGGGATGCAGCCTTGGGTATGCCTACCATCACTCTAGAATCACAGTGATTTTGGCATGGCTTTGTCTCTTTTCCTGACTGTACCCAGCTGTTAAGCTACACTAATTACTAGGTGATGCTGTGTAGTCATTTCTTGGTGTCCTTGGGGGATTGGTCCCAGGACCCCCCCGTTGGATATAAAAATTTATGGATGCTCTAGTCCCTCATAAAATGGCACAGTATTTGCATATACCGGTGCACATCCTCCTGTATGCTTTGTCATTTCTAGATTACTTATAATACCTAATATGGTGTAAACACTAGGTAAATAGTTGTTATATATTTTTTATTTGTCTTATTTTTATTGTATTTATTTTTAAGTGTTTTTAATCTCGAGTGATTGAATCTGAGGATGTGAAATCTGCAGATATGGAGGGCCTGCATTGTTTTCCGTGGAGCTTTGGGCCTAAACTGCTCCACAGACTGATCTGATCAAATTTGCGCTTCTTTGAAGGGATAGTTTCTGAGATCAGTGTTTGAAATTTGTTCCAATCCACAGAGGAGTCCTCCCAGCTCTCTTTCCCTAGTTCTGGCCACCAAACTAGACAACTACAATTTAGCACTTATCTCCAATGATTCTCCTCCTACCAAGTGCCTTTGAAAGCATCATTAACTCTTTCATACCTTGTTGCAAATGAAATTTCTTTGGGAAGAGATTGTGAGTTTTTTTTCTCCTAAATTATGGTGCAATATAAGTAATATACCATTTTAACAATTTTAAGTGTATTAAGTGTTTTTTTTTTTTGTAGTTTTTTTTTTTTTGTTTTTTGAGATAGTCTTGCTCTGTCGCCCAGGCTGGAGTGCAGTGGCACGATCTCGGCTCACTGGAACCTCCACTTCCCGGGTTCAAGTGATTCTCTGGTCTCAGCCTCCCCAAATATCTGGGATTACAGGTGTGCACCACCACGCCTGGCTAATTTTTCTATTTTTAGTAGAAACGGGGTTTCACCATATTGGTCAGGCTGGTCTTGAACTTCTGAGCTCGTGATCCACCCACCTCGGCCTCCCAAAGTGCTGGGATTACAGGCCTTAGCCACCACACCTGGCCTATGCATTGCTTTTATATGTATTTTAAAATTCATAAGTTCTCCTCCTATGATGTTTTTGTCCCATGTGATTTATTTGTTAAACCGTCATCTTTGGCCGGGCGTGGTAGCTCACGCCTGTAATCCCAGCACTTTGGGAGGCTGAGGTGGGTGGATCACAAGGTTAAGAGATCAAGACCATCCTGGCCAACATGGTGAAACCCCGTCTCTACTAAGAATACAAAAATTATCTGGGCATGGTGACGCGTACCTGTAGTCCTAGCTACCTGGGAGGCGGAGGTTGCAGTGAGCCAAGATCGTGCCACTGCACTCCAGCCTGGCGACAGAGTGAGACTCTGTCTCAGAAAAAAAAAAAAACAAAAAACTGTCATTTTTTATGTTGCATTTACTGCATTCTGGATTTAAACTGTGAGGAACCTCATGGTATCAGTTAATATATTCTTCCATCTTAATGTTTCTCGTAAACTGGTAGATCTGTAAACTTGATTAGGTCTATCCTATTGTATCACATCAGAAGCAGAAGGTGCTTTTTTTTTTTTTTAAGGGAAATTGTGTGAAAGTAGACAGAATGGTAAAGTGAACCCCTGCACACCTATCACCCAGCTTTAATAGTTATCAGCTCATACCATTCTTGTTTGATTTACAACCCCATTCATTTCTCCCTTCTGTATTATTATTATTTAGTTAATTATTTTTTGAGACAGGGTTTTGCTCTGTCACCAATGCTGGAGTGCAGTGGCATAATCACAGCTCACTGCTGTCTTGACCTCCTGGGCTCAAGTGATCCTCCCACCTCACCCTACCAAGTAGCGGGGACCACAGGCGTGTGCCACCATGCCTGGCTAGTTTTTTATTTTTTGTAGAAACAGGGTTTTGCTTTGTTGCCCAGACTGATCTCAAACTCCGGCACTCAAGTGATCCTCCTGCCTCAGCCTCCTAAAGTGCTGGGATTACAAGCATGAGCTACCACATTCAGCATGTAAATTTCTTTATATTAATTTGACTGGCATTTTAAGTCACACTTGAATTTCATATTTGGCAACTATTAAAAGCATAGAGTCCTGGATATTAGTGTTTTGTTAAACCTGATCTATCTAATCATAAATATACTTAGGTCTAAAATATGCTCTTGGCCTTTGTTTATTGCGGTTCAGTATTTGTTACTATATTAAATAGTAAAATATTTGGTTTGAGATACTAATGAAAAGATTAAAAGTAAAGCATAACTTGAATGGATACAAAAAGAAACAAGAATTTAGACTTCAGTGGATTTCAGAGAATACTGCTTCGATATGCTAACATTCCTGTTGGGTGTCCAACCGTGTCATAGATCAGTGGAAATTAGTGGTTTCTGCACTTTACTGTACTGTTTTTTTATATGATAATATTTTCCTGGTTGAATGATTCGTTCTTTTGAGTAAACTCCATGGTCAAACAATTACTTTTTATTAGTCAAAGATGTAACCACATAATCACTAAAAAGAACAGTGTGACTTATTTAAAGGGGATTATGTTTTTAAGTCTTTTATATAGCTTTGTAGGGAGGCCATATGAGTTTAAGGACAGTTCGTGGCATTTGTTCAAGGTTTTGTAACTTGGCATCTCAGCAGCCACCAGGATACCAGATCATCGTTCTAAGTAAGATTTAGGCATTTTAGCCTTCATGTACAGACTATAAGTACACCCCCCCACACCCCTACCAAAACTGTAAATTCAAATGATGTTTGAAAAAGCATAGAATTTTTGTTAGGCGAGGTAGTTTATTCCTTGTGATACAGTTCCAGAGAGGCAGCATAACCTAGGAATGAAAAACTTAGACGTGGAATCAGATACACCTGGTTTAAATACCAGCTCTACTGCTCATGAACTGGATGATTTTGGTCAAGATACTTGACTGCTGAGGTTCAGTTTCCTCACCTGTAAAGTAGAGGTGATAGATTAGACATGTTGCATGTGAAGTACTTAGTATGGTGTCTGGTTTTGTAGTAAGATCTATAAAAGATAAATTATTAGTCATATTCCTTAGACTTCAGGAATTTATCTCTGTGCCATGTTTGAGGCAAACAGTTACAGAATTAGAATGTTAGAAATGAAAGGAATCCTAGATGTCATTTAATTCAAGTCCATTGTTTTCTGGATGAGAGAAGAAAGTGAGGAAAAGTGACAGAGTTGGAGACCAAGCTAGGACTGGCCTCAGAATGTTAAGAGTACTCTTCTAGGGATCGACCAGTCGTGTTACTAGACTTTTTGGATCTGAATTGTGCTTTTCCTTGAATGTTTTGAATTTTGGCTTGAGTGTTGTGATTATTTTATTAAAATGAGATTCCAGTCCTATTGTCATGACTAATGTTTATGAGAAATATAACATTTCACTTTAATGATGTTTTTTAATTATTCTAAGGGGCCTAATCTTTTTCAGTGGAATAAGCTTTAGGTTGTATTATATTCTATAATTCACTTGAAAATAGAATTCATCTTTACTTGACAGCCAAATTTTGTGTACTGCATCTTTTCTGAGGGAGAGAGTTGGCAAGGAAAGGCACTTGTTACAACGATCCACACATATAGACGCATATTATTTAGAAATGAAAGTGCTTTGAATGATTTAGCTTATTTTCAGTTTTTTTTTTTCTGCAGTTGTAATCATATGACCTGTTTTTCTTTCTTTTTTTTTTTTTGAGACAGAGTCTTGCTCTGTCACCCCGGCTGGAGTACAATGGGGCGGTCTCAGCTCACTGCAACCTCCACCTCCCAGGTTCAGGCGATTCTTCTGCCTCAGCCTCCCTAGTAGCTGGGACTACAGGCGCATGCCACCACACCTGGCTAATTTTTTTATTCTTAGTAGAGATGGGGTTTCACTGTGTTAGCCAGGATGGTCTCGAACTCCTGACCTTGTGATCTGCCCACCTCTGCCTCCCAAAGTGCTGGGATTACAGGCATGAGCCACTGCGCCCGGCCCATATGACCTGTTTTTCTTTTATAGATGGGGGAGAAATATGGGAAGTGACTTGGTGTCAGTCATCTGTGTTGGTTAAATCAAGAATATAATCCGTGTTTTGCTTCTGAATAGCTCTTTATAACAGTGATTGGTTACTTTGGGAGTAAAGATTATTATTTAGAGACAGAGTCTTGCTTTGTCGCCCAGGCTAGACTGCAGTGGAATGATCGTAGCCTACTGCAGCCTCAGACTCCTGGACTCTGGTGATCCTGCCTCAGCCTCCTGAGTAGCTAGGACTAGAGGTGCATGCCACATGCCTGGCTATAATTATTATTAATTTACGTTTAGCATTAGTTTTTTTCTTCCAGTAGGCTATTTTACTTTATTTATTTGATTTTGATGAAGTTTGATTATTTCTAGTTTGCTTCCTTCTATGACCCCTACCTGTTGTGGGTCTCCAGGCAAGCAGTGCATAGGTAGAGCCATCCTTAGGTAGCCTTTAGACTTAATATTAGGTGAGCTCTCCCCACAGATAGCCTCTCCTTTATTTGAATGGAATTATATTTTAAGTTTGGAAATATTTTTCAGCTTATTTAGCCTGTTGAATTTAATAAAAATAATATTTAATCTTTTCAGAGGTCGAAACAGTAACAAAGGACTGCCTCAGTCTACGGTGAGTAACTTTAATGTTACTTATTGGGGAAAATTAGTAGCTAAAACATGATCTCTAACCACAGACCAAATGCCAAGGCAAAAGATTCCCTTCTTTTGAATTTTGTCATAGATAACTTGACTGTTTAAGTATGTTATTAGCCTATATGTGTTTTTTTAATGACTCTGTATAAAATGTACAATTACTTGTTGTATTAGTCCATTCTTACACTGCTAATAAAGATATACCTAAGACTGGGTAATTTATAAAGGAAAGAGGTTTAATTGACTCATGCTCTGCATTGCTGGGGAGGCCTCAGGAAACTTACAATCATGGTGGAAGGGGAAGCAAACACATCCTTCTTCACATAGCGACAGGAGAGAGAAGTGCTGAGCAAAGCAGGGAAAGCCCCTTATAAAACCATCAGATCTCCTGAGAACTCACTCACTATCATGAGAGCAGCGTAGGGGAAACTGCCCCCATGATTCAGTTATCTCCACCTGGTCTTGCCCTTGACACACGAGAATTATTATAATTAAAGATAAGATTTGGGTGGGGACACAGAACCAAACCATATCATTTGTAAATAGTATTTTTGTCACGTGTAATAACAAGAACAAGTCGCTTGTTCTTTTCTAAATGACTAAGTGCAAATCTAAGTGAAAAACCTCCAAAAGATACGTAGAACACCAAGAGTGGAGTCTGCAGAGTTCTTTATGCTTTTTATTTTGAATTAATGTGCTTTTTTTCTGCTGCTTTCATTTTTCTCCTTTGGCTTTCTGGTCTTAAATTTTGGAATGTTATCAATGAAATTGAACCGGACATGAAGGGCAGAAACTATAAGTCCCACATGATGGAAGAAATAAATGAGAAGCTATCACAAATTTTTGAGACTTTGCCTTTATTAGATTGTTTTACAAGAATCAGGAAGATATACACGTATATGGTAGTAATATGGAGTAGTGTGGTTGATCAGACTTAAGCACTGTCACTGATGCTGATATGCTGGGAGAACCTAGTCAGGGTTCTTCTATGAAGGTATGACCTGGCTTCCTACCCCATTTATTTATACTTCACCCTTCTTAGGGTACATTTCTGTGAGTTTTAACAATTGCATACAATCAGTGTAACTACCACCACAATCAAGTTAATAGAACAGTTTCATTGCCCACCAAAATCCCTCAAATCACTTTTCAGTGAACCCTCCTCTCTCTCCAACCATTGATTTGTCTTCCATCCTTACGGTTTGTGTCCTTCCTCCTCTATGGAAGTTTACTCTTGCTTTTTTATGTCATGTTTAGTCAAAACACCATTAGTTGGTTTGACTGATAACACTTGAAAACCTGACCTTCTGTTCCTTCTGTTCTCTATGGAAGCAAAATATTAAATAAACAAAATCTTCCCTTAATACATGTAAGATATCATAAACCTAACTAAACATTTTGCAACAAATAATAAACGTTAGCTTTATATGCAAATGTAAATACAGGCTGAGCATCCCTAATCGGAAATGCTCCAAAATTTCATATTTTGAATTAGGGATGTTCAAGCACTAAGTATAATGCAAATATCCCCAAATCCGAAAAAAATCCGCAGTCTAAAATACTTCTGGTCCCAAGCATTTTAGATGAGGAAGATTCAGTTTGTACTAATTTCTAATAGTTTTTTTTTTTTTTAATATTCCAGATTTCTTTTGATGGAATCTATGCAAATATGAGGATGGTTCATATACTTACATCAGTTGTTGTAAGTTATTAGATTATTGGGGATAAACTGCCTTGGGGGTAGAATAAAGTAATTCCATGAAGTTAAAATGTGGATAAATGATTGTCAAAGTAACATTGCTTAGATCATGTTTAGTCAGGATGATTTAGAGAAATAGATTAGAACTCCTTTTATCCAGTCTAATATAATTCATTGTAAAAGTACAGTTGGTCCTCTGCATCTGTGGGTTCCATATTCATGGATTCAGCCAACCTTGGATCAAAAATATTTGTTAAAAAGGCCAGGCACAGTGACTCACGCCTGTAATCCCAGCACTTTGGGAGTTTGAGGTGGGCAGATGGCTTGAGCTCACAAGTTTAAGACCAGCCTGGGCAACATGGCAGAACTCCGTCTCTACAAAAAGTAAAAAAACTAGCCGAACGTGGTGGTACGTGCCTGTAGTCCTAGTGACTTGGGAGGCTGACGTGGGAGGATTGTTTGAGCCTGGGAGGTGGAGGTTTCACTGAGCTGAGATAATGCCCCTGCACTCAGCCTGGTCAACAGTGCCAGACAGACCCCTTCTCAAAAAAAAAAATTTTTTTTTTTTTTTTTTTTTTTTTTTTTTTTGAGAAAAAAGAGGCATGGTTGCGTCTGAACCAAAGATGTACGGACGTTTTTCTTGTCATTATTCCTAAAACAATACAGTATGACAATTTACATAGCATTTACATTATATTAGGTATTACAAGTAATTTAGGGATAGTTTAAAGTATTTGGGAGAATGTGCTTAGTTATATGCAAATACTATTACATTTTATGTAAGTGACTTAAGTATTATGTAATTCGGTATCTGAAGGAGGTCCTGGAACCAGTCCCCTACCAATAACAACAGATAGCTGTATTCTTGTTAACCCTGCTGTGTGTGTAAAATAATGTTAGTAGTTGATTGTCTTTTGTACATTATTTTGTCACTTAAAATAGCTGGGGTCAGAAATGTTTGACTTCAGTATTAAAATTCGTACTGCAAACTCTGAGTAGAGCCTCCTGAAGAATTTCAAGAGTTCAGTGTATTGTTAATGTTTTGAAATTTTTTTATTGTTTTGTTAGTGAATACCTAATATTGAATGAAGCCTGATGAGGTATAAAAAGTAAAATGAAAACAAATATCCCTGGTGACCGGGTAGTATACTGTTTCTTTGATAAATAAATTATATGTTTTTAGGGCTCCAAATGTGAAGTACAAGTGAAAAATGGAGGTATATATGAAGGAGTTTTTAAAACTTACAGTCCGAAGGTAATTTTTACTTTTTTTCTTTTTCTTACAAAGTAAAAGAACATTTTCATAGTCAGTGTTTTACCTAGTTTTTAAAGCCACTTTGAATGATTTTACTTCTCAGTTTCAAATACTGATTATTTTATAGACTGGTTTGTGTAATCAGAGAGGCTTCTTGATGTGTGTGCTTATTAAAATATTTCAACCATTTTTAAGCATTGTGAGCTAATAGAGGGATGTGGTGGTTTGTTTTTTCCTCTTAAAAATTATTATTAATGTACTTAAGACAAACCATAGAAACAAAAAACATTTAGATATGAGGATTTTTAAATGATGGAATGGATAATAGATCATATGCCTGGGAAAAAGGGTATGATTCTCTTGAGATTATTTTTGTCAAAGGCATATAAGAACTGGTACCTTGATGAGCTAAAGAATTCCTAACAAATTTTATTTTGTAAAGGTTTGGAGTACTTACTTGTGTTTTTCATTTTAGTGTGATTTGGTACTTGATGCCGCACATGAGAAAAGTACAGAATCCAGTTCGGGGCCGAAACGTGAAGAAATAATGGAGAGTATTTTGTTCAAATGTTCAGACTTTGTTGTGGTACAGTTTAAAGATATGGACTCCAGTTATGCAAAAAGAGGTGGGTTTTGATTTCCTAAATATGCCTCATGGTTTATTAGATTTATTCAAGCAAAGATTTTCACAGTGATCTTACAAACTTTTTTTAAAGAAATATCTGGGCTGGGTATGGCGGCTCATTCCTGTAATCTTAGCACTTAGGGAGGCTGAGGCGGGTGGATCACCTGAGGTCAGGAGTTCGAGACCAGCCTGGCCAACATGGCGAAACCCCGTCTCTACTAAAAATACAAAAATTTATTTTTGTGTGTGGTGGCGTGCGCCTATAGTCCTAGCTACTAGGGAGGCTGAGACAGAATTGCTTGAACCCAGGAGGCAGAGGTTGCAGTGAGCTGATACCGCACCACTGCACTCCAGCCTGGGTGACAGAGCAAGACTCCGTTTCAAAAAAAAAAAGAAAGAAAAAAGAAATATCTACTTTCTAGAATAGCCCAAGTAAGGTAATTTTTTAGAAAAATGAGAATGTTAATGCATTTTTGTTGGAAAACAATTAGAACTTTAGAGAAAAATTAAATAGAGTTTTTGTGATCTCTTAAAAAATTAGTTTGTAAAGCATTTTCTACAGTTTTGTGGTCAAGAATGCTACTGATTATATTCAACTGAAAATTTCTTGTCCCATTTGGCCTACAATGCTTTAGTTTATAAGTGGGCATGTGGCAAATCTGGAAAGAAATCAAAGTATAAGGCTAAGGAAGAAAGGTAGAGAACGGTTGGTAGAAAACAATTGTCTAATGAAAATGAAAAAGGGTGAAGAAGTAGAACATACGTATTTTAAAAATATTCAGAGTATGAGACAAGGTTTTGAGAATTTAAAAGCGATTATGTAGTTATATTAAAAATTTAGTCTCTTTTTAAGTGTCCATTGATGAACAAAGTGGGAATTCCTGTTACTCATTTGCAAGGCATTATTGAGTGTTCAGTAACACGTTGCAAGGCACTTCTGGGCAATCCTGAACTTGGTTCTCAAATTCTTTTTTTTTTTTTTTTTGAGACGGAGTCTTGTTCTGTCCCCTGGGTGGAGTGCAGTGGCACGATCTCGGCTCACTGCAGCCTCTGCCTCCCAGGTTCAAGCGATTCTCCTGCCTCAGCCTCCTGAGTAGCTGGGACTACAGGCGTGTGCCACCACACCAAGCTAATTTTTGTATTTTTTGTAGAGACAGGGTTTCACCATGTTGGCCAGGATGGTCTCGATTGTTTGACCTCGTGATCCGCCCGCCTCGGCCTCCCAAAGTGCTGGAATTACAGG